>NC_000009.12:38797878-38949393 GCF_000001405.40 Homo sapiens
GTACTTACCCAATAGCAGGATTGCTGGATCGAATGGTAGTTCTACTTTTGGTCCTTTAAAACTGTTTTCTGGCCTGGCGCAGTGGCTCACGCCTGTAATCCCAGCACTTTGGGAGGCCTAGGCAGGCAGATCACGAGGTCAGGAGATCAAGACCATCATGGCTAACACGGTGAAACCCTGTCTCTACTAAAAAATACAAAAAATTAGCCGGGCATGGTGGCGGGTGCCTGTAGTCCCAGCTACTCGGGAGGCTGAGGCAGGAGAATGGCGTGAACCCTGGGAGGTGGAGCTTGCAGTGAGCCAACATGGTGCCACTGCAGTCTAGCCTGGGCAACAGAGCAAGACTCTGTCTCAAAAAATAAATAAATAAATAAAATAAAAAACCAAAAAAAAAATCTGTGTTTTCCGCAGTGGAAAACTAGTTTTTCCATACTGTTTTCCATAGTGGTTGTACTAGTTTACATTCCTACCAGCAGTGTAGATGTGTTACCTTTCCACCACATCCACGCCAACATCTATTGTATTTTGACTTTTTAATTATGGCCATTCTTGCAAGAGAAAGGTGATATCTCATTGTGGTTTTAATTTGTATTTCCCTGATAATTAGTGATGCTGAGCATTTTTTTCACTTTGTTGGATGTTTGTATATTTTCTTTTGACAATTGTCTATTCATGTCCTTTGCCCACTTTTTCATGGAACTATTATTATTTTTTACTGTTGATTTGTTTGAGTTCTTGTAGATTTTGGATATCAGTCCTTTGTCAAATGCATAATTTGCAAATACTTTCTCCCAATCTGTAGGTTGTCTGTTTACTCTGCTGATTATTTCTTTTACTTTGTAGTAGAAGCTTTTTAGTTTAATTAGGTGTCATGTATTTATTTTTGTTTTTGTTGCATTGCTTTTGGGGTCATAGTCAAGAATTCTTTGCCTAAGCCAATGTCTAGAAGACTTTTTCTGATGTTATCTTCTAAAATTTTTATGGCTTCAGGTCTTAGATTTAAGTCTAAGTTTTCTTAGATTTAAGCCATTTTGAGTTGACTTTTGTATAAGTGAGAGATGAGGATTCAGTTTCATTCTTCTATGTGTGGCTTCCCAGTTTTCCCAGCACCACTTATTGAATAGAGTGTCCTTTCCCCAATTTATGTTTTTGTTTGTGTTGTTGAAGATCAGTTGGCTGTAAGTATGTTGGCTTTATTTATGTGTTCTCTGTTCTATTCCATTGGTCTATGTGCTTACTTTTATACCAGTACCATGCTGTTTTGGTGACTTTAGCCTTGTAGTATAATTTGAAGTTGGGTAATGTGATGCCTCCAGATTTGTTCTTTTTGCTTAGTATTGCTTTGGCTATGCAGGTTCTTTTTTGGTTCCATATGAATTTCAGGATTGCTTTTTCTGGTTCTATAAAGAATGATGACGGTATTTTGTTGGGAATTGCATTGAATCTGTAGATTGCTTTGGACAGTATGGTCATTTTCACAATATTTATTCTACCCATCTGTGAGTGTGGGATGTGTTTCCATTTGTTTGTGTCATCTATGAATCTTTCAGTAGTGTTTTGTAGTTTTCCTTGTAGAGATCTTTCACCTCCTTGGTTAAATATATTTGTAAGTATTTTGTTTTACTTTTGAAGTTGTAAAAGGGATTGAATTCTTTTTTTTTTTTTTTTTTTTTTGAGATGGAGTCTCATTCTGTCGCCCAGGCTGGAGTGCAATGGTGCAATCTTAGCTCACTGCAACCTCTGCCTCCCAGGTTCAAGTGATTCTCTTGCCTTAGCCTCCTGAGTAAGTGGGATTACAGGTGCCCACCAATGTGCCCGGCTAATTTTTGTATTTTTAGTAAAGAGTGGGTTTTTCCATGTTGGCCAGGCTGGTTTCGAACTCATGACCTTAGGTGATCTACCTGCCTCAGCCTCCCAAAGTGCTGAGGATTGCAGACATGAGCCACCATGCCTGGCTGAATTGAATTCTTAATTTGATTCTTAGCTTGGTCACTGTTGGTGTATAGCAGTGTTACTGATTTATGTACATTTATTTTGTATCCTGAGACTTTATTGAATTCATTTGTTAGGTCTAGGAGCTTTTCAGATGAGTCTTTAAGGTTTTCTAGGTATAGAATTATATCAGCAGTGAACAGCAACAGTTTGACTTCCTCTTTTCCAGTTTGGATGCCCTTTATTTCTTTCTCTTGTCTGATTTCTCTGGCCAGCACTTCCAGTACTGTGTTAAGTAGAAGCAGTAAAAGTGGGCATCCTTGTCTTGTTCCAGTTCTCAGGGGGAATGCTTTCAGCTTTTCCCTATTCAGTATGATGTTGCATATGGGTTTGTCATATATGGCTTTTATTACTTTAAGATATGTCCCTTCTATGCTTATTTTGTGGAAGGTTTTTATTATAAAGGAATGCTGGATTTATATATAATGATAAAAGGATTAGTCAAACAGGAAGATATTATGATCCTAAATTTATATGCACCTAACACTGGAGCTTCCAAATTTATAAAACAATTACTACTAGACCTAAGAAATGAGATAAACAGCAGTACAAATATAGTGGGGGACTTCAATACTCCACTGACAGCACTAGACAGGTCATCAAGACAGAAAGTCAACAAAGAAATAATGGACTTAAACTATACCCTAGAAGAAATGGACTTAACAGATAATTGCAAAACATTCTTCCCAATAACTGCAGGATATACATTTTTTTTTCATCAGCACATGGAACGTTCTCCAAGATAACCTATGATAGGTTACAAAACAAGTCCCAACAAATTTAACGAAATTGAAATCATATCAAGTATTTTCTCAGACCATAGTGGAATAAAACTGGAAAGCAACTCCGGAAAGAACACTTAAAATGATATAAATACATGGAAATTACATAATCTGTTCTTGAATGATTTGGTGGTTAACAATGAAATCAAGATAGGAATTAAAAATTCTTTGAAATGAATGAGAACAATGGCACAACTTATCAAAACTTCTGGGATACAGCAAAACTGGTGCTAAGAGGAAAGTTTATAGCATTAAATGCCTACGTCAAAAAGTCTGAAAGAACACAAATAGAAAACCTAATGTCATACCTGAAGGAACTAGAGAAACAAGAACAAACTAAACTGAAACTCAGCAGAAGAAAAGAAATAACAAAGATGGAAGAGAACTAAATGAAATTGAAACAAAAAATACAAAAGATAAATGAAATGAAAAGCTGGTTCTTTGAAATGATAAACAAAGTTGATGACCATTAGGGAGATTAACCAAGAAGAGAAAAGATTCATATAACCTCAAGTAGAAATGAAACTGGAGATAGTACAACCAATACCACAGAAATACACAAGATCGTTCAAGGATATTATAAACACCTTTACATGCACAGACTAGAAAGTCTAGAGGAGATGAATAAACTGCTGGAAATATACAACCCTCCTAGACTAAATCAGGAAGAAATAGAAACCCTGAACAGACCAATAACAAGCAGCAAGATTGATCAGTGATTAAAAAAACAAAACAAAACACTGCCAACAAAAAAAGAATCGAGAACCAGATGGATTAACAGTTGAAATCTATCAGACATTCAAAGAAGAACTGGTTATCAATCCTACTGAAACTATTCCAAAAGATAGAGAAAGAGGGAATCCTCCATAAATCAGTCTAGGAAGCCAGTATCACCCTAATACCAAAAGGAGGAGAGGACATAACAAAGCAAACAAACTACAAACCAATATCCCTGAACATAGATGCAAAAATCCCCAACAAAATACTAGCTAACTGAATCCAACAGCATATGAAAAAGATAATGCATCATGATCAAGTGGGTTTTATATCAGGGATGCAAGGATGGTTTAACATACACAAGTCAATAAATGTGATACATCACATAAACAAAATTAAACAAAAACTATACGATTATATCAATAGGTGTGAATCCCTCTTTAAATGTTTGGTAGAGTTAATCAGAGAAGCTATCTGGTCCTGAAATTTTTTGTTGTTGGTGGTAAGTTTTAATTACTGATTGAATTACTTCACTTGTTATAGGTCTATTCAGATTTTCTATTCTCGAGTCAATTTTGATAGATTGTGTGTTTCTAGGAATTTGCTAATTTCATCTAGGTTATCTAACTTGTTGGCATAAAATAGTTTGTAATTTTTTTTTTTTTTTGAGACGGAGTCTTGCTCTGTCACCCAGGCTGGAGTGCAGTGGCGCAGTCTCGGCTCACTGCAGCCTCTGCCTCCCAAGTTCAAGCGATTCTCCTGCCTCAGCCTCCCAAGTAACTGGGATTACAGGCACCTGCCACCACAACTGGCTAATTTTTGTACTTTCAGTAGAAGCGGGGTTTCACCATGTTGGCCAGGCTGGTCTCAAACTCCTGACCTCAGGTGATCTGCCTGCCTTGGCCTCCCAAAGTGCTGGGATTACAGGCGTGAGCCACCACACCTGGCCTGAGCAATGATTTGACTACATTCATAATTTGGGTATATCATGTTTTCATTTTCATTTGGCTCAAAATATTTTCTAATATCCCTTATAACTTTTTATTTGACCTATAGGCTGCTTAAAATTGTGTTAATTTCTACATATTTGTAAATTTTCCAGTTTTTCTTCTGTTATTGATTTTTAGTTTCATTCTGTATTTGTCAGAGAAGATAATTTACATAACTTTATCTTTTTACATTTATTGAAACTTGTTTTATGGCCTACCCTGACACATGATCCACGTGCTTTGTGTATTTTGCAATTGTTTAGTGGAGTATTTTCTTTTTTTTTTCTTTTTGAGACGTAGTATTGCTCTGTCGCCCAGGCTGGAGTGCAGTGCCGCAGATCTCGGCTTCCTGCAAGCTCCGCCTCCCGGGTTCACGCCATTCTCCTGCCTCAGACTCCAAAGTAGCTGGGACTACAGGTGCCCGCCACCACACCTGGCTAATTTTTTTCTTGTATTCTTTAGTAGAGACGGGGTTTCACCGTGTTAGCCAGGATGGTCTTGATGTCCTGACCTCGTGATCAGCCCGCCTCGGCCTCCCAAAGTGCTGGGATTACAGGCGTGAGCCACCGCGCCTGGCCTCGTGGAGTATTTTCTATATGTCTGTTAGGTCTTGTTGATTTACAGTGTTTTTCAAGTCCTCTATTTCTTTATTGATCTTCTGTCTAGATGTTCTATCTGTTATTGAAAGTGACTGTTTGAGTCCATTTAGTGTTGCTGTAACAGACTACCTGTGACTAGGTAATTTATAAAGAGAAGAGGTTTATTTGGCCCATGATTCTGGTGACTTGAAGGTTCAAGATTGAGCAGCTGCATCTAGTGAGGGCCTCCCTCATGCTGCTTCCACTCATGGCAGAAAGTGGATGGGGTGTGGGCGTGTGCAAAGAGATCACGTGGTGAAAAAGAAAGCAAGAGAGAGAGAGATACACCCACTGACCCAAACACCTCCCAGTGGGCTCCTCCGTTTAGCAGTGTTACATGGAGGATCAAGTTTCCACATGAGCTTTGGCAAGGCCAGACCACATTCAAGTGATATGGGGCATATAATTTGCCAAATGCAGTGGGGTATTGAAGTCTCCAACAATTATTGTAGTACTATCTACTTCTTCCTTCAAGTCTATCGATGTTTGTTTCATGTATTTTGGAGTTCTGATTTTTGGTGTCTATACAGTTATAAGTATTTTATATTCTTGATAAATTTATGAGTTATCAATATATAATGACCTTAATTCATTTCTTGTAACAATTTTTGACTTTGTTTATTTTTGCTTTGTGTATCTACTATAAGTTTTTATTTTGTAGTTACCATTAGGCTTACATAAAACCTCTTATAATGGACTGTTTATATTTGGTAACAACTTAACTTTGATCACATAGAAAAAAGTCTCCACTTTTACTCCATCCCCTTGCCCCCAATTTATGCTTTGATGTCATAATTTATATTTTTAATTGTATATCCCTTAGCAAATTATTATAGCTATTATTTTTAATACATATTTATTTAATCTTCATACTAAAGACACAGATGATTTACTTACCATCACTGCAGTATTAGAATATTCTGAATTTGACTGTGTACTTACTTTTAGCAGTGAGTTTTATACTTTCTCATGTTTCCATGACACCAATGAGCATTCTTTTCTTTCTTTCAGCCTGAAGAGCTTCCTTTAGGATTTCTTGTGAGACAAGTCAGCTTTTATTTGTCTGGAAAAGTCTTTATCTCACTTTTATTTGTGAAGAACTGCTTTGGCAGGTACAGTATTCTTAGTTGGCAGATTTTTTTCTTTGAGGCTTTGAATATATCATCTTGCTCTCTCCTGCCATGTAAGGTTTTTGCTAAGAAATATACTGCTAGCCTTATTGGAACTCTCATATATGTGATTTATTTCTATTCTCTTGCTGCTTTTAGGATTCTCTCTTTGTCTTTGATTTTTGATAGTTTGATTATAATACATTTTGTTATAGTCTTGTTTGGATAGAATCTGATTGGAGACATTTGGTCCTTATACCTTGATATTATTCCCCAGGTTTAAGAATTTTTTAGTGATTATTTCTTTAAACAATGTTGTCCTAGGGGCTGGGTGTGTGGGTGTTGGCCTGGAGGCTAGGACCATTAGGGTTGACCTTTGTCTGGGGGCTCCAGGTGCTGGCCTGAAACCTGAGTCTACAGGGGTCATCTTGGAGCCTGGGTCCATGGGGGCTAATCCAGTGCTGGAGTCTGCCAGGAAGAAACTGGGCTGTGGGTCTGCTGTAATGTGTGGCTGCAGGGGAAAATATGAAGAGTGGGTCTGTGGGTGCCTGTTTGGAGATGAGAGCTGTAGCAGTTGGCCTGGTTCTTGGGTAGGTCTGAATCCTGGGACCATGGGGACCAGCCTGGTGCTGCAAGCAGTCCAGAGCCTTTGGCTGCCTGGCCCTGGGGTGGGCCTAGAGCCTGAGTCTGTGGGGGATAGCCTGGAGTTGGGGTTTGTCCAAAGTCTGGGGCTACTGATCAGCTACAGTCGGGCTACTACTCCAACTGTCCTTTCTATCTCTTTAGTGCATCCTTTCTGAAATCTCCTACCTGGTTTCCTTAGTTCTTGTGAAGGTGGTTTTATGCATGGATAGTTGTTCCAATTGATGTTTCTGCAGGGGAGCAAGAGCTAGAAAGTCCTATTCACCATCTTCCTTACAGCCTTCTGCCCCAAGGCTGCAGTACTCTTCAATCACATGTTTTATGTTACCTCTTTCTTTTCTCCAGCCATTTGGAAATAATTACCAAGAGCTACTTTTTTCGGCCAGGTATGCAATTTTTGTGAACCAATGCTGTTCTAACTGATTCTAACTCAAGAGGCGAGAAAAGCCCAGATGCCCCTAATTGGATCCATGGTTGTACTGTGCTGTATTTCCAGGACTTGTGCAAAGTTTAATACTATTACTCATCAGTTTTATTTTACCTCCTATTTTTCTCATTCTTTGCATGGATTTACAGAGGCACTTTCCTGACTTTTTCATTGTGGGCTGTGTTGTAGTCACCTTGGATCGATCTCTGGCCCTTTGGTCATTGTGTGCTTTGAGTCTGCATGGTGAGTCCCAGTTTTATTTCATGCATGAGCTTCATTGACAGAAAATCATTATACCTTATTTCCTTGCTTCATGCTTGGAAGATGTGGATTTGGCCTTCATATTCCTGACTGGATACTTTAAATGAGTCAGATGCATCTGCTTTAAATAGGTATTGACTAAGGAGAAGTAAGGGAATAATCTGTAAAACTCAACCCAAAAGGAAGTCTTTCTTCTTGCTAGAGGCATATTATTTATTTGGATAGATTAAGATTTTCCTCTACATGTTTAAGAAGTTAATCTCAATTTGGATGTGATTAGTAATAAGAATTTCAAATCTATATTTCACTTGAGTTTCTTGCAGTGTAATTATGTTTGTTGTCTGTTTGGGAATACTAAAACAATCATTTTATTGTAGTATATTTAATACTTTTACCATATTTCTTCTTACTTAAACCAATACATATAAATAACAACCATGAGAATCTCAAGCATATTTGAAATATTTTAATATCATTATGAAAGTAGAAAGATAAAATTAGAGTGCTCCAAAAATATTTAAAAATTCTAGTCCAATATCCTCATTTAGAGAAAGAAACCGAGGCCCAGAAATGTAAAAGCAAGTGAATAAAATTAGTGGTATGGCCAGAATTAGGTACTTTGTTCATGAAAATATTTAGTCATTTTTGAGGTGAGTTAGGACTGGCAGGGCACAGAGGGACACTGTTGTCATAAAACTATGAAGGACCTACCAAGGAAAAAATACCTCTAGGGGTCTCTGTTTATTGAGTTCTAAAAAAATACCCATACTATATTTGGTTGGCTAATAACATATAAATGGATTTTAATTGGTAAGTGTTTGGGGCATTTCTTTTTCTCTGTTCTTTCCCTTCCTTCTCCACACATCTATCCCAAGGCACGGGCATTTTATTTTGCATTTTGGACCTGCTGTCTGTTTGACAGTGTCCTCTTTTGATTTATTTATTATTGTTGTTTGCAAAGAAGAGGGAAATTTTGAAGCATGAACTTGCTGTGCTACCTTGATTTGGAGGTCTCCTGGCCCAGTGTGGAAAAAGTTAAAATCATCTGACATATGTTTATATATATTTAAGCATCTCAGTTGGCTTCATTTGTGCAATGAGGTCCCAAGATCCACTCAAACTCCTACTTACATACAGGAAAGAAAAACATCTGCTGCTTTGACTAAAAGTTCCTCCTGGCCTTCGCTGTGAAACTCAGGTGAAACCTCCAGCCAACAGAATTGTAACAGAGTCATTCTATTACACCAAGAAGCCTGTGAGCTCACAGGGGGAGGAAATACTGCAGCAGGATATGCAGTTGGGAGGATCTTCCTGCCCACAAGAAAATACAAAAAAAGTGGAATTAATCATCTTCGTCTTTTCACAGAATTTGCTAAGAAATTAAATTCAAATTAACACACTCATAGTTTTTGCCTACCATGTTCAAAACACTCCTGGTGCTTATGAGAGACGTGGTCTTTTAGAGGGCACAGTTACCATAAGGCAGCCACACCAGCAGGCTGGGTACTTACATTAATGATAAACCTATTATGCTCTTTCCCCATGAAAACAGATCTGGACCCTCACCTCCCCACCTACCGCTGTCACAGGCTCCTGGAATTTCCCTCTCTCACCCTTACCCTTCACCACTTTTGTGAATGTTCCTCAATCTGACTCCATCTTCCATCAGTCTTCTCCTCTTCAAACCCTTTCTCTGTGCTCTGTGGAATTCCTGATCAGTATAGTTTCCATATAGACATCCTTTACTTAAACCTTCTCTCCCATTTCTTGCCTTAATTGAAAATTGGCCTCTCTCTAGTCATCATCCCCCCTCCAATTCCATAGGCCTCATTACGACTTCCAAATCATTTCTTCTTTTTCTACCCTTGAAAAGCCTGGCACCTCTGATGTTTGTACCACTTACCAGTGTCACAATATTACCATATTACCCTCTTTGTGTTAGAGCTTCCCAGAGAAACAAAGCCAATAGGACACACACACACACGCACACACACGCACACACATACACACACACAAGTGTATTTATAATTAAATAAGAAATATATAGATATGACGGCCAGGCGCGGTGGCTCACGCCTGTAATCCCAGCACTTTGGGAGGCCAAGGAGGGCAGATCACGAGGTCAGGAGATCGAGACCATCCTGGCTAACATGGTGAAACCCTCTGTCTACTAAAAATACAAAAAAAATTAGCCGGACATGGTGGTGGGCGCCTGTAGTCCCAGCTACTTGGGAGGCTGAGGCAGGAGAATGGCGTGAACCCGGGAGGCAGAGCTTGCAGTGAGCCGAGATCACACCACTGCACTCCAGCCTGGGCGACAGAGAGAGACTCCATCTCGGAAAAAAAAAAAAAAAAAAAAAAAAAGAAAGATATATATGTGACAAAGTTCTCATTTCTATAATTTGTCTTGTGGCTGTAGTTAGTGTTTATAATTAGCTTCTTCCTTTAACAGTTCAGTATTGCTGTTTCCTCCGGTAAGCCCTCTAGCACTACATGGCTCTTTGCTTTACGTGGTGGCCCAAACCTTCATTCCTGAAGGGTCTAGGCCATGAGTGTTCCTGCCTGGATTGGTTTGTTGTAGTTTTCCATCAACCTTAACCACCAGGCATGATAATATTGAAAGGTGCCTCGAGGGACCTCCTATGTTCCAGACATACTCTTCTTTATCTCCATTGTGGAATAGTAGTCCAATTTTCTCTTGGTAGTCAGGATTAATCACCCCAACCAGCACAATAACTCCCTTCTTTGCCAGTTGATTCAGAGTCACGAATAACCCAAAGTGGCCAGGTGACATTCTTAACCTCCAGTTCAGTAGAGTCGTTGTTGCGTCTCCTGGTGGGAGCATTCATCCCTCTGTTACTATAACCTCTAGGTAGTTACTATATCCTCTATAGTAGAGCATAAGATTGTGAAAACAGGAAGTCAACATTTGCTACTGAGTTGCTAGGGGTAATGGTGAGTGGTTTTCCAACACAATGAAGTCTTAGGCAGTATACCACTCCGAAATCACTTGATCAGAGATTTCCAGCACTCACTGGGGGCATTTCTGAAATTGTGGAGGCTGAGAATCTTCTGTCTTGTGTCTGTAAGACAGAGACCCAGGAAAGCTGGTGGTATAGTTCCAGTCTGAGTCCGAAAGCCTGAGAATCAGGAGCACTGATGGTGTAAGTCTGAGTTCAAGGACAGAAACCAAGCAATGTCCTGGATCGAGCAGTCAGGCAGGGAAAGGCAGAGACAGAATTCTCACTTCCTCTGACATTTTTGTTCTATTCAAGTCCTCAGTGGATTGGATGGGGCCCACTCACATTGAGGAGGGCAATCTGCCTTACTCAGTACGCCAATTAAAAAGTTAATGAGATATATACCTCTTTTGAAAACACCCTCACAGACATGCCCAGAAATGTTTAACCCACTATCTGGGCATCCTGTGGCCCAGTCAAGTTGACACATGACAGTAACCGTCACACTCATCCTCCTCCCTTCGATCTGCTTTCTCACTGCCCCTCAGTGACTGGAGCCGTTAGCACCTCTCTGCTTCAGCTCTCATCTCATCTCTCAAAGCCACGTTTAAAATGTTACTGTATACATTACATGTCTTTGTGAAAATCAGTATGCTGAGCTATGGAGAAAAAAAGTATTTCAGAGAAGTGTGAAACAAACTGTGAAATTTAAAATTTAAAACATTACATGAATTGTGGATTATCAGAATTCACTTAAAATATTTCCATAGGTAAAAGAGAATGCTTGATTATGTCACATTTAAATACTGTTCTTTAGTTTTTATTTTAATCGGGACAATTTACATTAAGCACTGGTAAAGCAATTTCAAAATTTCTGTAGGTTAAAACAACAAAGGGGCTAGGCGCAGTGACTCATGCCTGTAATCCCAGCACTTTGGGAGGCCGAGGCGGGTAGATCATGAGGTCAAGAGTTTGAGACCAGCCTGGCCAACATGGTGAAACTCCTTCTCACTAAAAATACAAAAATTAGCCGGGTGTGGTGGCGGGTGCCTGTAATCCCAGCTACTTGGAAGGCTGAGGCAGGAAAATTGCTTGAACCTGGGAAACAGAGGTTGCAGTGAGCTGAGATTGTGCTGCTGCACTCTAGCCTGGGTGACAGAGCAAGACTCCGTCTCAAAAAAAAAAAAAAGAAAAAAAAGGATTATTTCTCATTCATGCTAGATGTCCAGTGAGGGTGGATGGGGAGCTCTGTTTCACACTGACACTCAGGAGTCTAGGCTGACAACGGCTCCATCCTCTTGTCACTGCTTCTGGTGGAATTTATGGCCTTTCTGGTTGCTGCAGCAGGAGAAAGAGAACAGAGAACCACACTGGGACTTTGACAGCATTGGCCTCACTTTTGCTCACATTTCATTGATCAGAACTAGTCATGAGGCCCTGCCTAATGTTAAGGGCTGGGAAATGCAGGCTTGCCTATGCACAAGCATCACTACTGCCCAGCAGAGTCTTTTTTTTTTTTTTTTTTTTTTAAGACAGAGTCTCCCTCTGTCACCCAGGCTGGAGTGCAGTGGTGCCATCTCAGCTCACTGCAAGCTACACCTCCTGAGTTCATGCCATTCTCCTGCCTCAGCCTCCCAAGTAGCCCGCCACCACACCCGGCTAATTTTGTTTTTGTATTTTTTTTAGTAGAGATGGGGTTTCACCGTGTTAGCCAGGATGGTCTCCATCTCCTAACCTCATGATCCGCCTGCCTTGGCCTCCCAAAGTGCTGGGATTGCAGGCGTGAGCCACCACGCCCAGCCTGCCCAGCACAGTCTTGTTAAACAGCTCTCATGTCCTGTGGAGTCCTGTCATGACACATGGGAACATGTGTGTCATGATAGGACTCCACATATAGGACTCCACATATAGGAGTAAAGGAGAAACGTGAGTTGATCAGTGAAATGAAGATGAAGGACAGGGTGAACCTCAGAGCCTGAGGTTGAAGGTTAAGTCTGTGATATCAGCAAGCATGTGGAAAGAACACACTTTCCTGGTGGAGGCACATGTGGAGGCTTTGATGGGCAATGGGCAATCAGGAGGTTTTAGGACAGCTGTGAGCAGTTCTGCTTTTTTTTTTTTTTTTTTTTGAGACAGAGTCTCGCTCTGTCTCCCAGGCTGGAGTGCAGTGGCTGGATCTCGGCTCACTGCAAGCTCCGCCTCCTGGGTTCACGCCATTCTCCTGCCTCAGCCTCCAGAGTAGCTGGGACTACAGGCACCCGCCACCACACCCGGCTAATTTTTTGTATTTTCAGTAGAGACGGGGTTTCACTGTGTTAGCCAGGATGGTCTGGATCTCCTGACCTCGTGATCCGCCCACCTCAGCCTCCCAAAGTGCTGGGATTACAGGAGTGAGCCATCGTGCCCAGCCTGTTGGGTCACATTTTATAATACATTTGCTGAGGTCTATTTTGTGATCTGTGAGTATGCACTGTGGTGGTGGCAGTAAAATACATCAGTGGGAATTTTCCTGCAGAGCTCTTGATCCATGCGGGGTGTATCACAATTGCACAGTAAATATTGATTTCATTGAGAAGAAAGAAAAATCTGATAAGAAATAAAATGAACCAATAAATATTTTCTCTACGTATGTGTGGTAGACAGAATTCGCAATGTGATCCCATGATTTCACACCCGAATCCCTCAGAGCCCACGAGAATAGGGAATCCCATGACTATGTTGTGTCATATGGCACAGTTGACTGTAGAGTAGGGACACTATCTGGTGGGCCTAATGTCATCACACAGTTTTGAAGCAGAGTGTTTTTTTTGACTGGTAGAAGAAGTCAGAGAGATTCAGAGTATGAGAATGACGCAGTGTGTACTGCTGTTCAGAAACGGAGGGAGCCAAGAGAGCAGGAATGAGGGTGGCCTGAAGGGTGCAAGACAGGTCCTGGCTGGCAGCCAACAAGGAAACCAGGACCCCAGTCCTCCAATGCCAGGAATTTAATCCTGCCAATAGCAGGAGTAAGCTTGGAAGAGGAGCCTGGGGTCTAGGGAAGAAAACATTAACTTGCATCTTTATTTCAGCCTTGTGAGACTGAGCAGGCGGTCCAGCCGCTGCATCCTGGAATTCTTGCCATTATCACACTCATATGTGAAATAATAAAACTGTGTGTTAGCTTCTGTATTGAATAAACTGAATAAACTTCTCAACTTTGCTTTCCTTCTCCAGTTTCCTCTCCCCACCCCTACAGTATCATTCTTTATGGAAGACATATTAAATTTCTCTTTAAAACAACATTGCTTTGAAATATAAAAAACAGCATATGTCAACTGTTTTTTACAATAAGAAGTACTATAACCAGACTTTTTTAAAAAAATGATATTATCCTGCTTAGCTCACAAAAACATTTTGATTATTTGGGCTGTTAAATTTTACGTGTCATGTTCAGTAAATCAATTAGGTTCTTAAGAAATCTCCTGCAGATTGTCAGATTGAAGAGATCATAACCCAGAAGGAAATAAGCCTGCACTCCTAAGACAATCAGTGCTTCTAATGAGAAAAGTGACTGACAGATAAGGTGGGAAGATTGGCCTCACCTCATGGGGCAGCTCTGCTGTTCTTGCCCATCCTGATGTTTTTGGATAACAAGGAAAGTGTATTCAATTTTTTAGCTCCCCCTTTTAAAAAAGCAGTGGAAGCTTGTAATCAAAGACAATCATGTTGGGGTCCGGTAGGAGTCACCCCATCGCATTCATCACACTCATCAACCAAAGGGAGGAGGCCTCTCCCTGAGTTCCTGCTTGAGGAACATGGCTGGAAAAGTAGGGAGAATGGAAGCTGATGCCAAAAACAAAAACAGGAGAGAGAAAGAAATGCCTCTGTTTGGTGCATCGAAACACTCGATTTAATCTGTGCATGTAGGTGGGGAAAGCATTTGTCCATTTTTAATTTCTGTAGTTAATCCAGGAGCCTCCAGAATAGGCTTATGGTTTGGAGTGACCTTGAATGGTGACAAGAGTATATTTTATTTGCATGGCTCTCCCCACTTTACCAATTACTTTCTCATAGGAGTCGCTTGTTTCTCACCCATGAAATTGTTAGAAGGTTTTGTTAACTTTTCAGTCTTGAGATTAGAAGAGGCTTTAATGTGCTGGAAGCACAACTGCACTTTTGATTCATGAATTTTTTTTTTTTTTTTTGAGACGGATTCTCGCTCTGTCGCCCAGGCTGGAGTGCAGTAGGGCGATCTCGGCTCATTGCAAGCTCCGTCTCCTGGGTTCAGCCATTCTCCTGCCTCAGCCTCCTGAGTAGCTGGGACTACAGGCACCCACCACCACGCCTGGCTAATTTTTTTTGTATTTTTTTAGTAGAGACGGGGTTTCACCGTGTTAGCCAGGATGGTCTGGATCTGCTGACCTTGTGATCTGCTCACCTCGGCCTCCCAAAGTGCTGGGATTACAGGCGTGAGCCACCGCACCCAGCTGATTCATGAATTTTCTATTCAGTTTCCAGCCTCTTCTGGAACACATTCAGCAATGGAGAGCTCCCTGCCTTTTGTAACTCTGGAGAGTTCAAGTTAATCCATTTATTGTTTGCTAGAAAATATAACCTTTTGAAAATATTTTCTTACTTTCCATTTTATTATTTATTTATTATTATTATTATTTGAGATGGAATCTCGCTCTGTCACCAGGCTGTAGTGCAGTGGTGCAATCTCGGCTCACTGCAACCTCCGCCTCCTAGGTTCAAGCAATTCTTCTGCCTCAGCCTCCCAAGTAGCTGGGACTACAGGTGTGTGCCACCACACCCAGCTAGTGTGTGTGTGTGTGTGTGTGTTTGGTAGAGATGGGGTTTCACCATGTTGGCCAGGATGGTCTCAATCTCTTGACCTCCTGATCCACCTGCCTCGGCCTCCCAAAGTGCTGGGATTACAGGTGTGAGCCACTGCACCCAGGCCATTTTATCTTTTAACTGTCTGCAACAAAGACAGAAAATGACACCAACCTAAATCATTCCTGTTAGAGTTCAGGACCATCATCTCCCAAACTTTGGAGTGTCTGATTCCCTGTAGTCAATATGCAACGAGATTTCAGGCAAGTATTGTTTGAGGTCGACAGTAACTGTATCCAAAAGTTACCTTCCTAAACATATACAATTGTTTTAGAAATAAATGCCTACATTTTCTTTGAGTACCTGGGCTAACTGATGAAATCAGCCTTTCTGCCTCACCTTACAAAGGTACTTTACAAAGTTTGGGATTAATGTTGAGATGGGAAATCAACCCACACTAGATGCAAAAAAGCAGAGCTCACTGCCTGAAAATGTGAGGTGTGAGGCTATTCAATGGTTGTAATAAAAAATAAAAAATAAAAAAGATCAATGAAAGTGGGCTTAGAAGGGCCAGTGTCCAGGCAGCTCTGCTGTGGGAACTGTAGAATCCGGGTCATGGGAATGAGGAAGGAAAATGACTTGGGTATATTCCACAGAGTGGATCCTATTTTCAGAACATGCTTTCATTTCTTTTTGCATTTGACAGTTTATACTCAAGAATAAAATAGTCACCTCAAGGGCGTTAGGGAAGCAGAAGCCTAGGAGAGCCCGAGTGACACCATTTTAACATCAGCTCCGTCTTCAAGTTAGCAGGGTACATTCCTTGCCAGTCATGACTCATGGTCCTAACATGTTCACATCCAAGGAAAGAGCGTGGTAATGCCTGCAAGGACAAACTCCTACAATAACAGGCAGTCCAGATGTCCCAATGCCCATAACAATATATGCTTTCAAGATAGTTATAGTTATGCTTTGATGTACTCGTACACTAAAATGTCAAGGATCGTTTTCTTTAAATCAATAGAATAATAAATTTTGTCATTCTGTCAGTCCACCTGCACATAGGCAAAGCTTAGTTTATTCTTTACATAAAGAAGATGTATATGTAAGAAAAACTTAAAACAAAGATGGGGCATTCCTGTTCTTGCTTTCTGAGAATACCTTACTCTATAACCTAGAGGCTTTCAATAAACTCTCCCTTCCCACTTTATTCTGCAACTCACCTTGAATTCTTTCCTGTGTAAGATCCAAGAACACTCTCTTGGGGTTTGTATCAAGATCCCTTTTCTGGTAAAAAAGAGGATGCAAAAATTCAGCTACAACAAAAATAGACATGGGTTATTTTTCCTAAAAAGATTGCACTTGTCTGTTGCCATTGGAGGAATGTATCCGATGTTGTCAAATGTCAAACAAGACTCAGAGGACCTGATAACTCATATTTTGGAAGCTGGTTCTCTTTGGAATACAGAATTTTAAAAGGCTTGAAGCAGTACTCTTGAGTAATATGGAGAGTAGATAGATGATGGAGAGCAGAGAGAATGATTTAGGTTTGTGCCATTTTCTATCTTTCTTGCAGACAGTTAAAAGATAAAATGGAAAGTGAGAAAATATTTTCAAAATAATTACTCTTTATACTCACAATATAACCTTTTCACAATAATTCTTCTTCTTCCTCTTCTTCTCCTTCTTCTTCTTCCTCCTCTTGTTCTTCCTCCTCTTCCTCCTCCTCTTCCTCCTCCTGCTCTTCCTCCTCTTTTTCTTCTTCTTCTTTCTTCTTCTTTCGTCTTCTTCTCCTTTCTTCTTTCTTTTTTCTTCTTTCTTCTTTTCTTTTTTAGACGGAATCTTGCTCTGACACCAGACTGGAGTGCAGTGGCATGATCTCGGCTCACTGCAACCTCCGCCTCCCAGGTTCAAGGGATTCTCCTTCCTCAGCCTCCCGAGTAGCTGGGACTACAGGCACACACCACCACGCCTAGCTAATTTTAGTATTTTTAGTAGAGACGAGGTTTCACCATGTTGGCCAGGCTGTTCTCCATCTCTTGACCTCGCGATCCACCTACCTCGGCCTCCCAAAGTGCTGGGATTACAGGCATGAGCCACCATGCCCAGCCAATAATTACTCTTTTTGTATTCCAGCACAAAAGTTGGGATCATGGATAAACGACTTGCCCCAACTCTGGACAATGGAGCAGTGGCAACCTGTTAACACATATTAATTTTGGGTATTTCTTAAAGTTTTCTACCCTCCTGCTTTTCCCGTGAGAATGGGTGTGGTTACTCATTTGCTTACACAAATCTCATTCTTGTATCCAGTTTGATAACTGGATACTACTGAAGCTGATCTTCAGTAGTCTCGGGTGGTCCTAGTGAACCAGCTTCTCCAGACGCAGCTGTTCGCCTTCTGTTCATTCAGCATCCAAGGTGAGTCTTCAGCACTGTCTGATGCTCCAGCAGTTCATTCTGGCAGTGCTCTTACGAGAGGGATAGCGGGAGCAGGCTGGCGGCACAGGCCAGATACAGTCAGGGTCAGATGACCACCTGATGGGGAGGGTCTTCATCCACAGACTGTTCTCATTGTTTGGGGGATTCTTCCTCCTTTTTTATTCCTGTATTTAATCTGGCTTCAGTCATTAGGTGTTTCTTTCATAGAGGAATTTTCATCATATAAGGGTAAGATTTGTTTTAAGATTCATGAAAGTGGCATATGTGCTGAGGTGGCCTAGGCAATCAGGGTTTTTAGGTCTTATTTTCATAGGGACCCAGTAATCATCCCCCGGCCAGGGCTGGAAATCCCCAGGCCAGGTTACATCATACTGCTAAGTGAAACATAGTGTAGACCCCATGAGATGTTTGAGTGGGCTTTATGGCCATCATTAATCTTACAGGCATGGGATGTTTCTTATTGTACCATACAACAGCTATCCACACTTCTCATCCACATTCTTGCAGCAATCTAATCTTCTCATACAACAGTGAGGTAAGATTACCACTCAGCCTTTGTTGTGATGACTGCCCACCTGCTACTTTAAGTTTAGCTGTGTGTGGTACTATGATTACTCTTCCTTTCAAGAACAGCATTTTCTTTCCTTTGGGATTAATGATTGCTTGTTTGGGGGGCTATACTTTATTTTTATACATTATTACTAATATTTAAACCAAATTTCTCTTAACCTGGGTTTTCTCTAAAAACAGAGCCTAGTACAAAGGTATGTAGGCATTTTATTTTATTTGGGAAGTGACTGTAGGAAACAGTAATGTGAGGGCCTGGAGAACATGACAGAGAGAAGGAAAAGCCAATTAAAAAATACATAGGGTCAGGAGATCAAGACCATCCTGGCCAACATGGTGAAGCCCAGTCTTTACTAAAAATACAAAAATTAGCCGGGTGTAGTGGCAGGTGACTGTAATCCCAGCTACTTGGGAGGCTGAGGCAGGAGAATTGCTTGACCCAGGAGGAGAAGATTACAGTGAGCCAAGATCGTGCCACTGCACTCCAGCCTGGCGACAGAGCAAGACTCTGTCTCAAAAAAAAAAAAAAAAAAATTACATAGGGGCTCACCTCTGCAGATAGGGCTGAATACTGCTGGAACTGTTTGAGGAACTACATGAAATGCATCCTCTTGATGGCTATTGTCCTCCAACAGAAGCAGGTTGTTTCTTTGGAGTTAATGCCTCTCCACTCCCAGGTTATGCAGACCTGTGTGCTGTGTCCTGAGAAATTTCAGTAAAGCTCATTGCAGAAAGCATTCAGGGTAGTGCAGCCATGGCTGAAGTCAAAGGGGGTTGAGAGGACCTGAGATGGGACACATGTTGGGGGAAAGGCAGTTATCTAGAGCTGGGAGGGGGACCTGGTAATGTGACTCCTGGCAATGTCCTTTACATGGTCCTTTCTCTCAAGTGTACCTAATGTCATCAATTCCTGAACTTTGGGAGTGGGACCATTTCGTATAATTCGAACCTCTTCTACACGTGATATAAACTACTAAGTCAATGGCACATATCCATCTTTTTTTCCAGATCCCCAAGTTCCTGTTTTCTCTTCTTTCATCCTTATGGGTTTATTATGTTTTTTACAAAGACAACCCCCTTATTGTCATCTTAGTGGCATTTCAGGGGTAAGTAGAATGAAAGGCATGCTTCCTATCTGCTCTCTTGAATCTACATATACTCTTTTGGGTTTTAAACCTTTTAGAGAAAAAAACTTCCGTGGTATATGCCTCTTAACAAAGATCTTACATGAATAGGCCAAAAAACTCAGTTTTTGTCCAGCTAATAATTGAATTGTAACCAAACGAAACCAGCCAGCTTGCTATAGAATTATTTTAATAGGGCATACACTGTATGCTTTTTGTTTCTGCACATTTTTACACTTGCAGATATTATACACGGAATTTTATATTCTTCCTGTTCAGTTAACATTCTGTGTATATCTTCTCTTTTCTACATGATTAAAAAAATGTTATTCGGCCGGGCGCGGTGGCTCACGCCTGTAATCCCAGCACTTTGGGAGGCCGAGGCAGGCGGATCACGAGGTCAGGAAATCGAGACCATCCTGGCTAACACGGTGAAACCCCGTCTCTACTAAAAATACCAAAAAATTAGCCGGGCACGGTGGTGGGCGCCTGTAGTCCCAGCTACTCGGGAGGCTGAGGCAGGAGAATGGCGTGAACCTGGGAGGCAGAGCTTGCAGTGAGCCGAGATCGCGCCGCTGCATTCCAGCCTGGGCGACAGAAGGAGACTCCGTCTCAAAAAACAAACAAACAAACAAAAATTATTCTACACCCCTCTTCTATCCTATTTCCTGTTTTTACATCCGCTCTCCCCTCCCGCTTCTGAGTCTCCAGTGTCCTTTATACCACACTATGCCTTTGCCTACCCATATTAGCTTATAAGTGAGAATATATGGTTTTGGTTTTCTATTCTGGGTTACTTCACATTTCAAATGGAGTTGTTTTCTTAACTTCATTCACTTAGTGCTCACTGCGAGTGTATAGTAATACAATTAATTGTTTAATATTGATTTTTATCCCTCAAACTTGCTGAACTCATTTATTAGGAATCGTTTTCTGGGGTATTCTTTTGGATTATACGTATACAAAATTTGGGTAATCCGTAAGTAACTGATGTTACAATCTGTTGTGCTCATTCAGTACTTTTCCCTAAGCCCAATCACACATTAAACAAACACAGAGTTCCTTTTAGTTCCTGCCTAAGCACTGAGTTTTTATAATGAAAGGTGGGAAGATATGTTCTATAAGAAAAGGTTTTTTAAAAAAACAGTTTTATTGAGATATAATTTTACATTCCATAATATTCACCCATTTAAAGTATGTAATTTAATGTTTTTTACTATATTCACAGTTTTGTAAAACCATTACCATTATTCAACTTTAGAATACTTCTATTTCCCTTAAAAGAAACCCCATGCTCGTTAGCAGTCACTTGCTATTCTCCTCTCCTTCCCCACTTCACCAACTCCTCACCTCTCTACCCGAAGTAACCACTAATCTACCTGCTTATTCTGGGCATTTAATAGAATTGGAACCATGCAATATATGGTCTTTTGTGGCTGGCTTCTTTTACTTAGTATAATGCTTTCAAGGTTCATCTATGTTGTAGCCTATATCAATACTTCATTTCTTTTTAAGACAGAATAATCTTTCATTGTATTTATGTACCACATTTTACTTATCCATTCATCAGGATAAATGGGCATTTTGGACATTGGGTTGTTTCCACTTCTGGCTATTAGGAATAATGCTGCTATGAACATTCATGTGCACTTTTTTTTTTTTGAGAGAGTCTTGCTCTGTCGCCCAGGCTGGAGTGCAGTGGCATGATCTCTGCTCACTGCAAACCTCTGCCTCCTGGGTTCAAGTGATTCTTCTGCCTCAGCCTCCCAAATAGCTGGGACTACAGGCACGTGCCACCATGCCTGGCTAATTTTTGTATTTTTAGTAGAGATGGGGTTTCACCATATTGGCCAGGCTGCTCTCACACTCCTGACCTCATGATCTGCCTGTCTCGGCCTCCCAAAGTGCTAGGATTACAGGCGTGAGCCACCGCGCCTGGCCCATGTACACATTTGTGTCTGTGTGTGTGTGAACATGTTTCACACCTAATGGTGGAATTATTGAATCGTATTGTAATTCTATGTTTAATTTTTTGAGGAATTGTCAGTTTTCCACAATGGCTGCATCATTTCACATATTTATCAACAGTGTGTGAGGGTTTAAATGTCTTCAAATCCTTGCCAAAAGTTTTTACTGTCTGCCTTTTCGATTATAGCTGTCTTTGTAGACGTGATTTTGATTTGCATTTCCATAATGAATAGTGATGTTGAGCCAATTTTCATATGTTTGTGGATATTTGTACATCTTCTTTGGAGAGATGCCTATTTAAATCCTTTGCCTATATTGTATTTGGTTTATTTGCCTTGCTACTATTGAGAGTGGTATGATTCCTTTATATTCTGGATATAAGACCCTTATCAGATATATGGCATGCAAATATTTTATTCATTGCTGCAAGTTTTGTCTTTTTTTGATGGTATCGTTTGTAGCACGAAACTTTTAAATTTTGATGAAGTCGAATTTATTTTTTCTTTCATTGCTCGTGCTTTTGCTGTTGTACCTTAAAAATCTTTGCCTAAACCCAAGGTCAGAAAATTTCACTCCTCTATTTTCTTCTAAAAGTTTTACAGATTTTTATGCTTATACTTAGGTTTTTAATCTTTTTGAATAAGCTTTTTGTGTATGGTGTGAGATAGGGCATTGAGTTATCTAGCCACATTTGTTGAAAAGGCTCTTCTTTCTCCAAGCACTTTTATTAGAACCCTTCTGAAAAATTCATTGGCTATAAATATAATAATTTATTTTTAGATTCTCAATTCTGTTCTACTGATCTATGTGTTATTCTTATGGCCATACTACACTGTTTTTATTATTATAGCTTTGTGTTATGTTTTAAAATCATTAAACGGGAATCCTTTAAATTTATTCTTTTTCAAAATTGTTTTGGGGATTCTTGGTCCCTGAATTTTCAGAACTTTTAAGATCAGTTTGTCAGTTTCTGAAAAAGAGCTAGCTAAGATTTTGATAGAGATTGTGTTGAATCTGTAGATCAGCTTACAAAGTATGGTCATTTAACAATATTAAGTCTTTGGGAGGCTGAGGCAGGAGAATCGCTTGAACTCGAGAGGCGGGGGAGGTTTCAGTGAGCCGAGATTGTGCCATTGTACTCCAGCCTGGGCAACAAGAGTGAAACTCTGCCTCAAAACAAACAAACAAACAACAACAACAACAACAAAAATATTGTCTAGGTAATATCTTTCCATTTATTTAGATCTTTAATTTCTTTTAAAACTGGTTTGAAGTTTTTAGTATACAAATCTTGCAATTCTTTTGTTAAATTATACCTTAGTATTTTATTCTTTTTGATGTCATTTCAAATGGAATTGTGTATATATATATATATTTTACTTCAGTAGCTTTAGGGGTAGAAGTGGTTTTTGGATACATGGATGAATTGTGTAGTGGTGAAGTCTGAGATTTTAGTACACCTGACACCTGAGGAGTGTACATTGTACCCAGTAAGTAGTTTTTTATCCCTTCCCCTTCTGAGTCTCCAATGTTCATCATAACATTCTGTATGCTTTTGCCTACCCATAGCTTAGCTTATAAGTGAGAACATGTGGTATTTGGTTTTCCATTCCTGAATTACCTCACATGTCAAATGAAATTGTTTTCTTAATTTCATTCACTGAATGTTCATTGTTAACATATAAAAATAAAATTAATTTTTAATATTGATTTTTATCCTTCAAACTTGCTGAACGCATTAGTTCTAATAGTTTTCCGGGGTGTTCTTTTGAATTATCTGTATACAAAACTTAGGTCATGTATAAGTAGAGATAGTTTTACTTCTTCTTTTTCAATCTGGATATCTTTTGTTATTTTTATTTGACTATCTCGGCTGGCCCATCTCTTGGAGGGGATTTTTATTGTAAATTTTTTTATTAGAGAGATGTACTGTATATATTTTCCTACAGTAATTTTGAACTAATTATTCTTATAGACATCTGTATATTTTCTACTTATTTTTAGATTTCTTTTTGACTTATGGGTAAATGAAATGCGTGTTTATTAATTTCCATATTTTTCTAGATATTTTTGATGTTTTTATTTTTCTCCAGATTAATGGCTTCCTTATCAGAAAATATCTGTAGATTTTCCATCATTTGAAATTTGTTGAGATTTTATTTATGGTTCAGTGTGTGCTTCTTTTTAAATAAATGTTCTGTATGTGCTTGAAAATGATGTGTATTTTGGCAGCATTTGACTGAGTGACAGTTTTATGAGGTTCAAATCTTCTAAATCCTCTTAGTTTCTTCTATTAATTAGTGATAAAAATGTGTTAAAAAGAAAAATAATCAGAGTAGAGGATTTTCTTTGTAGTTCTAGGGATGTTTTTATTTATGAGTGTTGAGGCTAGGTAATTAGATGTATATATATTATAATTATTTTATCTTCCTAATAATAACATGTCTATGTTAGCTTTTATGGTTAATATTTTCCTGGTATGCCTTTTTACTTTTTAAATCATTAACCTTTCTGTATCCTAATGTTTTATATATGTCTTGTGAAAACAGGAGCAAATTGGGTTTTGTGTTATAGTCTGTTCATTTTTACTTTAAAATAAATAGTTTAGTCAGTTTATGTTTAAAACAATTACTGATATATATAGGTGTGTATTTTCCATTATATCTGTGTTCGTAGTTTATCCATGTTCCATTTTCTTTTATCTTAGGTTGTTTATATTTTCTTATCTAATTTCCCCCCTTGTAATTTAGAAGTTGTATACTATTTTTATTTTTATTGTAATAATTATAACATAGATACTATATTAATATCCATATTGTTCAGAAAAACAGAACCAACAGGACACACACACACAGTCTGAAAGCCAGCAGTCTTGAGACCTAAAAAGAATCCGTTTCTCAGTTCAAGTCTGAAGGCAGTAAAAGATGCATATCCCAGCTCCAACAGTCAGGCATGAAAGAAAAGGTCAGCTTTCTTGTTCTATTTAGGCCTTCAGCTGATTGAATGAGGCCCATTCTCATTGGGGAGCACAATCTGCCTTACTCAGTCTACTGATTCAAATGTTAATTTATCCAGAAATACTCTCACAGACACATCCAGAATAATGTTTGATCAAATGTCTGGGCACCATGTGGCCTAGTAAAGTTGAACACATAAAATTGAGCACTACAGCACTTAATTGATCAGTTTCTCAGTTAATCTGTATCTTGACCTCATACCAAATGATAAAGGAGCATTAGAAGACTCTTTTACTTTATTTTCCTTCCTCTCTTTTTATTCTGCTGTTAATAAAATTTCATTTTTTATCTTAAACATTCTACAAGGTGATGCCATTATTTTTTTCTATTTTTTATTGTGGTAAAATATACATAACATACTTTTTATCATTGTAACCATTTGTGAGTATGCAGTTCAGTAGCATTAAATATATTTACAATGTTATATAACTATTGTTACTATCTACACCAAAAAAAAAAAATATATATATATATATATATATTTTATACGGAGTCTGCTCTGTCGCCCAGGCTGGAGTGCAGTGGCACGACCCCTGCTCACTGTAAGCTCCACCTCCCGGGTTCATGCCATTCTCCTGCCTCACCCTCCAGAGTAGCTGGGACTACAGGCGCCCGCCACCACGCCCGGCTAATTTTTCTGTATTTTTAATAGAGACGGGGTTTCACCATGTTCGCCAGGATGGTCTCGATCCCCTGACCTCGTGATCCACCTGCCTCAGCCTCCCAAAGTGCTGGGATTACAGGTGTGAGCCACCGTGCTTAGCCCCTACACCAAAAATTTTTATTATCCTCAACATAAACTTTGTAGTCATTAATCAATAAGTACCCATTTCCCCACTCCTTATCCTCTAGTAAGCTTGATTCTACTTTCTGTCTGTAAATTTGCCTACTCTAGGTACCTTATATACATGGCATTGTACGATATTTGTCCTGCTATATCTGCCTTATTAAACAAAGCATAATATTTTCAAGGTTCATTCATGTTGTAGCAAATATAAAAATTTTATTTCTTTTTATAGCTGAATAGTATTCCATCACAATGCCACATATTCTTTATCTATCCATCTGTTGATGGACACTTGGATTGCTTCCACCTTTTGGATGTTATGAATAATGCTGATATGAACATTAGTACACAAATAACTGCTTTAGTCCTTGCTTTCCATTGTTTTCTATACATACTTAGGAGAGGAATTGCTGAGTCATTTGGTAGTCTTAAGATTAACTATTTGAGAAACTGCCAAATTATCTTACAAAGCAGTTGCACCACATTTTACATTTCCACCCTTAATGCACGTTCCAATTTCTCCACATTCTCACCAGTATTTATTATTTTTCAATTATTATCTTTATTATCATTTGTATAGCCATCTTTGTAGGTGTGACATGGTATCTCGTGGTTTTGATTTGTATTTTTCTATCTACTAATGATGTTGGACATCTCTTTATGTATTTATTGGCTATTTGTAGGTCTTCTTTGGAGAAATGTTTATTCTAGTCGTCTGCCCATTTTTAAATGTTTGTTTGTTTGTTTTTTGTTGTTGAGTATTGCATTAGTCCGTTTTCACACTGCTATAAAGAACTACCTGAAACTGGGTAATTTATGAAGAAAAGAGGTTTAATTCACTCACAGTTTTGCATGCTTAACAGGAAGCATGACTGAGAGGCCTCAGGAAACTTACAATCACGGCGGAAGATGAAAGGGAACCAAGGACTTTCTTCACATGGTGGTAGGAGAGAAAGAGAGAGTGAAGGGGGAAGTGCCACACACTTTCAAGCAACCAGATCTTGTGAGAACTCACTCAATAGCGTGAGAACTCACTCAATGGCATGAGAACAGCAAGAGGGAAGTCCACCGCCATGATTCAGTCACCTCCCACCAGGTCCCCCCGACATGTGAGGATTACGATTCAACATAAGATTTCGGTGGGGACACAGAGCCAAACCATATCAAGTATTAAGAGTTCTTCATATAGTCTGGGTATTAATCCTTTATCAGAATGTCTGAGATATTCTGATCTGAGAGTTCTTCATATAGTCTGGATATTAATCCTTTATCAGAATATCTGAGATCAGAAGCAGCAATTAGCAATCAGAGAATAGATCTCTGATATTTGGAGGACAGGGTACTATTTGGCCACCCTGGCCTCTGCAAGCTGAATGGAAACTGCTATTGGAATGCATGCACAGCTACCTGCCATGTGAGTGGAGGTAAGGGATGGATAGTTGCTACTGTGCTAAGAGCTGAAATTGACAAAATTAATGCAATTTACCATCCAACCTTTCCCTGGAAGTCGCAAACCTTTAACAGACTCTAGAGTTCCAAAAGAGTTACATCAGGCTGGCTGCAGTGGCTCACGCCTGTAACCCCAACACTTTGGGAGGCCGAGGCGGGTGGATCACCAGGTCAGGAGATCAAGAACATCCTGGCTAACACCGTGAAACCCCGTCTCTACTAAAAAATACAAAAAATTAGCCGGTGTGGTGGCAGGCGCCTGTAGTCCCAGCTACTAGGGAGGCTGAGGCAGGAGAATGGCATGAACCCAGGAGGCGGAGCTTGCAGTGAGTCCAGGTCGTGGCACTGAATGCCAGCCTGGTTGACAGAGCAAAGACTCTGTCTCAAAAAAAAAAAAAAAGAATTACGTCAGACATATTCTATCAATGCAATTGTGTCTAGTTGGGGGAGACAGTTTCCCGGTGCTTCTTAATTTGCCATTCCAGAATTCTCTCTCTCTTTCTTTATTTGTTATATCTGTTAAAATTTATATTTGTTAATCACTTTGGTTTCTTCTTTTTAGTCAGTTTAGATAATTTGTGTGTTTTAAGAAATTTATGCATTTATTTTAGGTTATTTGTTTGGCATACAATTGCTCACAGTACTCTTAATTCTTTATTTCTATAACATCACTAGTATTGTCCCCATTCTCATGTCTAATTTTTGTCATTTGCATGTTTTCCCTTTTCTTCTTAGTCTTTCTAGGTAAGTTTGTCAATTTTGTTGATCTTTACAAAAAACCAACTTTTGATTTTATTGATTTTTCTCTATTGTTTTTCTAGTCCCCATTTTGTTTTTCTGTGCTCTAATCTTTATTGTTTATTTCCTTCTAGTTTTGAGTTTAATTTGTTCTTTATATCCTCATTCTTTAAGGTGGAAAGTTAAGTTACTGATTTGGAATGTCCTTTTCAATATAGTTATTTATAGCTATACATTTCCCTGTGAGCACAGCTTTCAGTGCATCCCACAAGTTTTGGTATGTTGTGTTTTCATTTTCATTCAACTCTGTTTTCTAATTTCATTTGCAATTTCTTTTTTGATCCATTGCTTGTTTAAGAATGTGTTGTTTAATTTCCACAAATGTTTGAATTTTCTAGTTTTCCTTCTTTAAAAATATTTTTAATAGTATACTCTATTTAGCTTAATATATTCGTAGTATTATCATACCATTCCAATACATCATCAATGAAAGAAATTAGTATCGAGATATCTTACATTCTTTCTTTTGTACTAATGATATAGGAGGAGGGCAGGGCAGTGTTGGGTAGAGGAGAAGGTCCCTGGCTAGGGCTCCACCCTCAGGCCTGTGCCCATGGACCTAGGTGAGGACAGATATTTCTGCTTTCGTTCCCATATGTTGCATTTTCCAAGACCACCCTGGCCTGCCATGCCCCCATCCTGTGCCTATAAAACCCTGAGACCTTAGCGGGCAGAGACACAGAAGCTGGACATCAAGAGGAACACACACAAGTGGAAGGACACTCAAATGGCTGGACATTGAGAGGAACACACAGGCAGAGGAACACTTTGGCAGACACCAGTGGAATGACGAAACGCTGAGGGGAATTCAGTCGGAGAGTCTGGCTACTGAGCGGCTCCACTCCAGGGGAAAACCACCTTCCCAATCCATCCCCCCTCTGGCTCCCCTCCATCTGCTGAGAGCTACTTCCACTCAATAAAACCTTGCACTCATTCTCCAAACCCACGTGTGATCTAATTTTTTTGGTACACCAAGGCAAGAACCCAGGATACAAAAAGCCCTCTGTCCTTGCGATAAGGCACAGTGTCTAATTGAGCTAATTAACACAAGCCACCTGCAGACCGCAAAACTGAAAGAGTTAACTGTAATATATGCCCACTGGGGCTTC
This sequence comes from Homo sapiens, assembly GCF_000001405.40. NCBI lineage: Eukaryota > Metazoa > Chordata > Mammalia > Primates > Hominidae > Homo > Homo sapiens. The sequence goes on from NC_000009.12 coordinate 38,826,472, forward strand.
AGAAGTTGTAAACACTCAACCTTGGAGGCTGCCATGGTGCCAGCGCTTCCCATGCCCTGCCTGTCTGCATGGTTCCCCTAGAGGTATGAGTAGCAGGGCACCAAAGAAGTGAGCCACACCCCCATCACACGCCCTGCTGGGGGATAAGGAAACTTTTCCAATTACACTAAGTTTTTGAAATGCAGTGTCCATTTCATGTAATAGCAGATCTCCATTTCTTTTTTGTTTGCTTTCTGTTATTGATATCTAACTTCATCCTGTTGTGGTCTGAGAAGATACCATTTGTATGGCAACTATCTTCTAAAATCTATTGAGATTTAATTTGTGGCCTAACATATGGTCTGTCTTGGAGAAATGTCTCATGTGCCTTTAAGAATTTGTTTGCTGTTGTTGTTGGGTAGAGTATTCTGTGTATGCCTCTTAGATCCACCTGGTTTATAGTGTTGTTCAAGTCCTCCATTTTCTTACGTATCTTCTGTTTGTTATATATTTCTTATTGAATGTGGGGTGTTGAAGTCTCCAATTATTATTATTGTAGAATTGCATATTTATCTTTTCAGTTCTGTCAACTTTTCTTTCATCTATTTTGAGGATCTGTTACTAGGTGTGTAAAATGCTATTGCTTTTCAACGTTCACTTAGATTAACTCCTATATTTATCAGTCTCAGTGCTTTAATTATTCTTGCATTCTGGAACATCCATCTGTTGTCACTTCCCTTCTTTTTATAAGAAATTCCTTTAGTGATGTAGAATAATATGATTATGGCAAAATTTTCCTAGTTTTGTTTATCTGAGAGTATATTTGCCATCCTTTTATTGAATCATTGATATTTTTATCTCTGTGTTTCTTTGTAAGAGTCTTTTAAACTTTTACTTGGAAATAATTATAGGTTTGCAGAAAGTTTCACAGATAATACAGTTTCCTCATACCCTTCACTCAATTTCCCTAATAGATGTATCTTACATAACTGTAGCACAATGTCAAAGTTTGGATTTTGACAATGGCATAATATGGTTTGTATAGTTTTGTCATTTTATCATGTGTAGATTTGTGTAACCACCACAGAAATTAAAATACAGAAATACTCCATCATCACAGAGATCTCCCACACCACAGAGATCTCCCTCACCACAGAGATCTCCCTCACCACAGAGATCTCCCTCATGCAACCCCTTACTGTCACCTTCCTACCCCCATGATTCCTATCCCTTGAAAGCTCAAATTTCTTCTTCATTTGTATACTTTTTTGGGGTTTTTTTTTTTTTAGAATCTTCTAAATTAAACTATTTACATTTAATGTAATTACTGATATTTTAGAGTTTAAGTCTTCTTTTTTTGTTTTGTGTCTATTCTTTGTTTCTTACATCTATGTTTTTCTTTCTCCTGTTTCACTGTGGGCTACTTCATTTTTTTTTTTTGAATTCCATTTTTTTGTTATCTCTAGTGTTATTGGGTATATCTCTCTGTATAGCTTTTTGGGAGTCCTTTAGGTATTAAATTATACACACGTAACAGCACATTCTGCTGGTATCAATATTTTACCAGTTCAGTTAAAGTATAGAAATTATATCCCCTTTTGTGTCTCTTTCCCTCTCCATTTATAATATAATGGTCTTGGCCGGGCGCAGTGGCTCACGCCTGTAATCCCAACACTTTGGGAGGCCAAGGCGGATCACCAGGTCAGGAGGTCGAGACCATCCTGGCTAACACAGTGAAACCCCGTCTCTACTAAAAAATACAAAAAATTAGCTGGGCGTAGTGGCAGGCAACTGCAGTCCCAGCTACTCGGGAGGCTGAGGCAGGGGAATGGCGTGAACCCAGGAGGCAGAGCTTACAGTGAGCCGATATCGTGCCACTGCCTCCAGCCTGGGTGACAGAAGGAGACTCTGTTTCAAAAATAATAATAATAATAATAATATAATGGTCTTAAATATTTTTCTACATACATCGAGAATCACATCAGACATTATTATAATTTTTACTTCAATAGTCAAACATAATTTGGAAATTCAAGAGTAGAAGGAAAACCTGTATTTACCCAAAATTTTGCTCTTTTTATTGTTTCTACTTTCTTCTTGATGTTCCACTTTATTCCTGAAGAATATTTGTGCTGGATATAGAATTCTAGACTGATAGTTATTTTCTTACAGCACTCCAGAAATGAGATTGACACTTACACTGGCTATGTAGCCATTTTGGGTTTTTAGCTTGTGGACGAAAATTTCTCTCTTTGAACTTTTCACCTTGGACAGGTCCAGTACTACTACATTTTCCTCGTAATAGCATCCCTAATTTCATAAAATACCTTATTTCTTAGTTTGTTTTCCATTTTTTGCTTAATAAAAGGAGTACTGAGGGATACAGATTTTTATCTGTGTCAACTTTAGTTGTTTCTCATTTTGTATTATATAGTGTGGATCAGTCCAAGATGAATTTAAAGAAGGATATGATGATGTATTCTTAATAATTTTTAAAAAGTTAGGTGATATACAAACTTATGCAGAAGAAACTTATAGTAAATAATCTTATAAAAGGTATTTTGGAACTACTTTCAAAGCGTATTTTAGTGGACTGATTAGTAGAATGCTCTCTCTTAAGTTTATAAAGCCCTGGAAATTCTTCTGGTATGAGAAATGAAAACTCAACTAAGTTTTACAGATCTTCATTGATGCTTGACTTCTCTCAAAAAGGAAATGGTATAATAAAATGGAATGGGTTTATTTTGTACCAGCCATCATCTTAAAATCAGGAAGTAGTTAATTGTGAAACTGAAATATTGGCGAAACAGAAGAGTTTCCATTTTTGATGATTTGCTCTATTGGCACATATCATCTAAGAGCGGCTACATCCCAACAGTGGGAAAGTGCTAAGTAAAAACAATGATAAGAATGACCTAGGCCGGGCGCGGTGGCTCACAACTGTAATCCCAGCACTTTGGGAGGCCGAGGCGGGTGGATCACCTGAGGTCAGGAGCTCCAGACCAGCCTCAACGTGGAGAAACCCCGTCTCTACTAAAAATACAAAATTAGCTGGGCGTGGTGGTGCATGCCTGTAATCCCAGCTACTCGGGAGGCTGAGGCAGGAGAATTGCTTGAACCTGGGAGGCGGAGGTTGTGGTGAGCTGAGATCGCACCATTGCACTCCAGCCTGGGCAACAAGAGCAAACTCCGTCTCAAAAAAAAAAAAAAAAAAAAAAAAGAATGATCTAGTGATCTCACTTGAAAAAAGTGTAGTGGTCTCATCCTATAAAGGTTTTTTTGTTTTGTTTTGTTTTGTTTGAGACAGAGCCTTCATCTGTAGCCCAGGCTGGAGTGCAGTGCCATCTCGGCTCACTGCAAGCTCCACCTCCCGGGTTCACACCATTCTGCTGCCTCAGCCTCCCGAGTAGCTGGGACTGCAGGTGCCCGCCACCAAGCCCGGCTAATTTTTGTTTTTTGTTTTTTTTTTTGTATGTTTGGTAGAGATGGGGTTTCACTGTGTTAGCCAGGATGGTCTCTTATCTTCTGACCTGGTGATCTGCCCACCTTGTCCTCCCAGATTGCTGGGATTACAGGCGTGAGCCACCGTGCCCGGCCCTAAGAAGTATTTTTAAAACATCCTACTTTTCATTTCTGAAAAAAAATAAATAAAAAGCAGTTGACTTTAAACTCTTTAAAAACAGAAGAATCTGGGTATTTGTTTCTATTATTTGATATAAGGCAGAATCTTTTAGAAGGATTTAAACACTTTACTAAAGTCAGGAACGAACATGTAGGGAAAAACACAACAGTATTTTTGGAGGATTAGATTTTATGTCATCCACAGAATGAAGATACTGCTGTGGAAAACTGGCTGATCAATATGAGCTCCACTGAACTTTTGTTTTTGTTAACAATGTACCTCAGTAAGTATTTAGTTAATATATCCAACACATGCCCTTGAAGCTATTCATCCAAATGTCCAGTAACAGATAACTCAGAAGACAGTTATATAACACAGAAGAGAATAATCAAATTTAGCTATGATGAGTATATCTGAAGAATATTAAATTCTATGTTCTAATTTTAAATATTATCAGTGAGAATAGTGTAAATAAACTTTATAGGAAAGTGAATAAATACATGAAAAACATTTGTATCCTCTATAACAATAAATTGCCATTTACAGCTCCTACAAGTCAGTACTAAAACTACAAATATTCATGTAGAAAAATATTCAAATGATATGAACATGAAAAAAATCAGAAAATGTCACTTAAAAATGTTTCTTTTCTATTTTATAAACTTGTTTTTAAGATCTTTCCCCTATTTCTTTTGCATTTTCATCCAGCTTCTTGGGTTCAATGCTCAGTTTATTTGTTTCTGATTTCTCTAGTTACATAATAAATGCACTTAAGATTATGTTTGAATAATTATCATAACAGAAGTTTGACTAATTAGCAGCATTTATCTTAATTGCAAAGGTTAGAAGGATCTAAGTGCAGGACAGTTCTCTGGGTGGCCTTGGACCAACCCAGTTCTCTCCCCTGTCTCTTGTAGTTCTCAAGAATAACTGTAGAATGTACTGGGAATGCAACATCCTGAGAGAAGAAAGGAATGGCTAGAACAGCCCAGGCCCTGTTCCAGTTCCTTGGAAACAGAATGTCTTTCAATGTTTTGTCCAGGGGGTAACTTCACCTTGGAGTATAAAACCCAGGGTGGGCTGCTTTTGCGGGTCCCTAGCTGAGGTACAAGTGTGGCATGCACAGACAGGACTACACCTCCCCCGAGCAGTTTTCCCCAGCCTTGGAGGACTAGCTTGCCATGAAGCCCAGGTGCTGCCTATCTGTAAGTAACAAATCCACGTACGTGACTTTTGTGTGTTTGTGTTCCATCTCAGCAGACTCAGCCAAGTTGGTAACCAGTGTCATACTAAGTATGTACTGTATATATAAATGCACAGATATTTTGATGTTTAACGTTCCAGGATCTTTCTTTTAAATGAGTTCTTAATTGTGTATCCCAGATCCAAGCTCTTCTCCTGACAAGCCTCTGGCATAGCAGTGAGGTTTGCTCTGTAAGCTGTGGAAGCCTCAGCTGGACACTGTACCCAAGCTTGCTAGGTATCCACTGTTTCAGCAGTGCTGAGAAAGAAAAGACCCCAAGCCCTCAAGGAGGTCTTTTCATAACATAGCACAGTCTGCTTTTTGCATAATTAAATCATTTCTTAACTTACCAATTGACAGAAAATCACTACCAATACCATTCTATTCAACTTACATATTCCACCAAACCAGACATGGTTGAACATCAACAGGGAGCCACCCAGAGTGATTTGAGAAAAAAGCCAAAACCAAATCCAAAAGATCTTTACACTATTTAATTGTAACTGTGCTGAGTTAAATTATTAGAATAAGAAATTTTATAAGTTTATTTTAAAATTTTTATTTATTTATTTATTGGGATGGCGTTTCACTCTTGTTGCCCAGGCTAGAGTACAATGGCGCGATCTCGGCTCACTGCAACCTCTGCCTCCTGGGTTCAAGTGATTCTCCTGCCTCAGCCTCCGAAGTAGCTTGGATTATAGGTATGTGCCACCACGGCCGGCTAATTTTTGTATTTTTAGTAGAGATGGGGTTTCGCCATGTTCACCAGGCTGGTCTCGAACTCCTGACCTCAGGTGATCCACCCGCCTTGGCTTTCTGAAGTGCTGGGATTACAGGTGTGAGCCATCACGCCCAGCCAACAGTTTATTTGAATCATGAGAATTTGTATTGGTTTTTATAAACTAGTTTCTTTCATCTCAGATTCCCTGAAGTATAATGGGGTGTATAAATAACAGTAAAAATAATAGTAATAACAATTACTTCCCTAGGCTGCCAGCAGAAAACACCTGAAATGTTTTTCTTTTTTACGTATCATTTTTGAAAATGTTACAGGAAGAAAAGTTAAAATGATCCTATCACTAAAAAGTAGTTTAATTTTTCTTTGTGAATCTAGTGTGAGGAGAGTCCACTCAGGTATTAAGGTGTTCACATCCTGATTGTCCTTAACCTCCTCTTCCCTCTCCCCATTCTTAAGTGGGAAAAAGAATTTAAAGAAAAATTCAGGCCACTGAGAAGAAAAAAGCTTGGCACCCCAGAGGGGCCAGTGTAGGTTTCAGGGTTTCAGGTCTATGTAAATTTCTCCAGATTTCTTCAGATGACAAGGAGAAAGGGCTTTGCAGAGAGAAGTGGCCCCAGGATCTGTGCTCCATGCAGTTAGACGGGCTTTGCCAGAGGAAGCCCAGAGAGGCTGGACACTATGCCTGGAACAGAGTGGGAGTGTGTGGTTACTGGGGTGGTTCTGCCCCATCTCCTGGCAGAGTGCTCAGCTGCCCAGAGTGGAGCGCCCGAGGGAGACCGGTCAGCAATAGTGACCATCCCCCCAATGCTTGGCGCACCTGGTTCCTCTTGTCAGGCTGGGGAATGAGTGCTCAGGATGCCCAGTCATGGTTAGAAGTCGGCGGTGCTCGGCCGGGCGCGGCGGCTCACGCTGTAATCCCAGCACTTTGGGAGGCCGAGGCGGGCAGATCACGAAGTCAGGAGATCGAGACCATCCTGGGTAACATGGTGAAACCCCGCCTCTACTAAAAATACAAGAAATTAGCGGGGCGAGGTGGTGGGCGCCTGTAGTCCCAGCTACTCGGGAGGCTGAGGCAGGAGAATGGCATGAACCCGGGAGGCGGAGCTTGCAGTGAGCTGAGATCGCGCCACTGCACTCCTGCCCGGGCGACAGAGCGACACTCCGTCTCAAAAAAAAAAAAAAAAAAAAAAGTCTGCCGTGCTCAAAGCAGGCTTATTCTCATCTAGAAGATAAAGAAATATGGGCCCTGTTACCCCAGGCAGCTGCTGAATTGGAATGGAGGCAGCAGGCACTGAACATCTGCCCTGTTTCATCCTTGAGTGGATAGAAATGGCCTCTTATTCTGACTCTTTCCCTACACATTTGTGGTAACACAAGACTTTTAAAACAAAACAACTGACTTAATTCCTCCAACCCTGAATCACGGCAGTTAATTTCATTTTTCTATACTTAAGAAATGTTTTCTGGCCAGGCGTGGTGTCTCACGCCTGTAATCCCAGCACTTTGGGAGGCCGAGGCGGGCGGATCACCTGAGGTCAGGAGTTCCTGAGACCAGCCTGGCCAACATGGTGAAACCCTGTTTCTACGAAAAAAAAAAAAAAACAAAAATTAGCCGGGTGTGGTAGCGGGTGCCTGTAATCCCAGCTACTGGGGAGGCTGAGGCAGGAGAATTGCTTGACCCCAGGAGGCAGAGGTTGCAGTGAGCCAAGATCGCACCTCTGCAGTCCAGCCTGAGGGACAGGACAAGACTCCATCTCAAAAAAAAAAAAAATTTTTCTTTAAAACATGAATATAAATGAGTCAGACTCCAGTAAGAACCACAATGTGGCTTCCAAGACAGAATAAGAGAAACAAACAACTGCAAGTCATTTCTCAGTAATGGGGACTGGTGACTGCTGCCTGAGGGCCTGTGAATGGCTGTGGCATTTGGGGTCCTGCCCTGGTGTCTCCCTGCTGCTTCCTCCAGGCTGAAGTGGCGCTTCTACTAGAAAGGTGTCTGCAGCCTTGATAAAGCATTGCACCTTGGCACAGATCAGCGTGAGGACCCAAACAACCTAGCGTTGACAGTTTAAGCCAAAGCAAGCCCCATTCTTTGCTGATAGTTTTTCTAGCAATTGCCTAAGTGGCAGTTGGAAAGAACTTATTGGGAATGTAGCTACAGACACTCTCCCTTCTGGCCTCCCTTGATCTCCTTTCATCCTTTTATGGTAACGCCTAAGGAAAAAATATAACTTCCATCTAATACAAGATGGAAAAAAAAATAGATGTGCATAGATTCCTTCTAACTGAAGGAAATCATTCAGTGAATTATATACATTTCTCTCTCTATATATATATATATTTGTACACACACGTATATATAACCTATTCTCTATCATTTATCTTTCTATCGTTTATCATATATATGCAAATTTCAGTTTAAAAATTGTTCATTAAGTGATACAATCAACTATATGCAAGACATATAAAATCTTAAGACTGTATACATAGGTATAGTGTTTATTTCTTACACAACAATTGTTTATTACACTATTTGACCAATGTGACCATACCTAAAATTCTTGCTTTACAAGAATTAAATCTTAGTTTAAATTGAGGTAGTAATTTCAAATTTAAGATAACAGTGAGAATGGGGCTGTAACTTCTCTAATAAAAATATGTAGCAGTACATACGTGACTATTAGTCAAAAGATGGCACAGGCAGGGAAGAGGGCACACTTCACCAGGCAGTGCGGCCTAAAGGCAGAAATATTTTGCAAATGGAACTGAAGCTGGACAATGTCATATTTGGCCTCTGATTTGTTGGCTGAAGCTTCACAGTATAATAAGCCTCCTTTGGATGAGAGTGGGCTAAGCCTGGAAGACTCCAATCCTACACATTCTACAAATGTGTGCAGAAAATATCTTCATTTGCTGTCAGCACAGAGCTGGTGCTGTGAGGGTGGAGGACGTGATGTGGGGAAATGCAAGGAAAGCCCACTCCTTTGTGGTCCTGGTGTGGGGAGGGTGGCCCTCGCCCCATTCATGTTTCAGGTTCCGGGAAAGACTGGCCTCCTGAAGCAGCCCCCACGCCAACTCAGGCTCAGCCAAGGCCCTTAGGTGGTATAGCACAGCCAACAAGTGAGAGGCCCTGAGGTGCGGGGCCCGAGCTTCTCTTGGCTCCTGGACGTATATGGGATCAAGAGGGGTAAACCTGGCAGAGACGAAGAGGCTGAAGAGTGGCCCAGCTGGGCCAGACCCAAACTGGAGGTGCAGCCAGATATGAGATGTAGGGCCAGGGTGCACCTGGGTAGGGCTGCACCAGCCAGGAAGGCTGCTGAGTTTTTGGGCCAGAGTGAAATAAATCAGGAGCAACACCCAGCCTTGACCTAGCTGAGAACGTCAGCAAGGCAAGAAGAAATGACATGGGGAGGTCCTTTGTCCCGGACGTGGCAACCCAGGATCCTGACTCTCTCCCTTGGCTTGAAGGTCCCATGAGCCCCACTGCTTTTCATGAAGATTGTATGTGAAACACCCAGGGTGGGGGTGCCCTCACACCTCAGGGCCTTTGCACCTATTATGTCTTCTGCCCTGTAGGAATGTGTTCCCCACATAGCCCAGATGGCCAGCTTACTGCATTCACATCTCTGCTCCCAGTCACCACCACATCAGTGTGGCTTCCCCGACCACCTCTTCTAGAATGATTCTCCCTGCACTACTTTCACTATAGCCCCTGGTCCCATGTTTCTTTTTAACACCTATCACCATATGACACATGTATTTGTTTATTTTCTTTCTTCAACTCCCTACTAAAATATGAGCTGTGTAAAGACAAAGAGTTTGACATTTTGTTCCTAATAGTGTCCCCAGTGCCTAAGAACAGAGTGCACACACACACACACACATACACACACACACATTTGCTATTGGTGAGCTATGATGCCTTTCTGATGCCATCTTGACTAGTCACAGCGAGGCTGGGTAACCTAGAACATTGGCAGACTGGCCTTTTTCCTACAGGATACTGAGCGTTAACTGAGAAACCAGTGTAAATTATGAGTTTAATGTTTTCAATCTTAATAGATAATTTTCCCTTATAATCAGCAGGGGCAGCTCTGAAAAAATTAAAAATAAATAAAAATAAAAAAATCAGTGTAGTTAATAAAGAGTTGCGCCATGTTCTCTTTGCATACAAGAGCTGCTGTGTGAAAGATCCTGCCTCAGGTGACCACTGAGTTCCTTCTCCTTTTGAGAGACCCTCCCGGCACGCAGTAAGTGCCAGCATATTCTCACGTCTTTGAATTTCATGATTTGGGCTGGGACTCGCTGGCCACATCATTGGTATAAAGTTCTCCAAGAACCCAGGGTGAGCATGCCACAGGGAGAAAACATTCTTGTCACTTTAAATACAAAGAACATATTTAAAGTAATTGCTAATGATTCAATATTTGCAATACATGTGTGGGCAGTTATGAAACTTTCTTTAACGCCTAGGCAGATCTAAATGCCTTATCAATTTGGAGGCGCTGTTTCCTTCGTGGTTAACAATTTAAGGTGTTTCGCTGTGATTTCTGACTTGAATGTTCCTTTATTAGAGGACATTGTCCCACTAACGTACATCTCCTCTGGAGGCTGGGCTAATCAGTCTTCAGTCTAAGAGCTTTCCTTCACTACTGCTAATTAAGGATTTTTCTATGATGAATACATAATTCTAAAAAAATATGATTTCCTGATACAAACTACATATGCTTGAAATAAAACTCCGAAGTCAAGTTGCACAGGCTTATCAAACAACTCTCTGAGCACAGAAATACAGAGTAAAAGTTAAAACACGTCTCTACAAAATTATAAACACTGAATATCAACAAATCAAATGACTTATTGAACTTACTTTGCAAAAATTCAGATAAAAATGCATTTATACTAATCAAATTCCAATTTCTGCACTATGTAGGCTACCTTTGTAATAATTACATAAGAACCCTTATAATATAGATCTTTTTTCTTCAATAAAAAATCAACTTTGGGATTATTCTGTAAAAGCAGAAGGAGAATTTGGAAAAATTAAGCCTTCTAAGACCTCCCAGATGAACTCTAGCCAGAGCCCCAGGAGGACTTAGTGATGCCCTCTCACGTTTGGAGGCTGGAGGGAGGGCGGGAGTCAGTTCCCCTTGAGTTCCTATGGAATCTTCAGTCTGTTCTGCTAGACTGATAGACCAAGCTTCTCAGACACCCAGACTGAAGGGGATAATGATCTAGCACCTCGGAGTGTAGACACACAGCCCTTCTCTCCAGGTTTACTGACAGCAGCTCCAGGGCCTCAAGTTCAGGCTCTCCTGCTTTTCTGCCCCTAAATATGAACTCAAAGAGACTGAAAAAGCAGAAGACCACGGGAAATCCTGCAAGGTTTCTGGCACCTTAGCGACTCACGGATGAAGCCATTGGGCCTTTCCAAAACTGTCATTTTTTGAGAAGACAAGCATGAGACATCCTCTGCCAAGGGGAGGAAAGGGACAGGGACAGATATGGATAATTGGGAAAGTTTGATAAATCTGTAATTTTCTGCCTCATAGGCATAAGATTCTTTTGGGGGTTTACTCACTACATGATACCTGTCACTAGGAAGTTTGTAGATTGCATCTCTGTTGAAAATCCTTTGTGTGTGTGTGTGTGTGTGTGTGTGTGTGTGCGCGCGTAGCTATATATGCAGAGAGCCACACGTCTTAGAATTTGGCCCCCCAGCCTCCTCTTCCCACCACAGAGCAACGTCTGTGGTGCCAATGAGCCCATCAGGCCATGCCTCTGCTTGGCACAACTGCCCTCCACGGGAGTCTGCCTCTTCCTTTTTTTTTTTTCTTATAGATATGTGTTCTTTTCAATAATTGAGATGAAATTGTGTAAACAGATTGGCGTTATGCATGTTTTTTCAGATGACATTATATAGTGAAAATATTCCCCATGTCATAAAGATTACTTGAAATATCATTTGCACAGCTCCAATATTTCATAACATGGATTCACCATTATTTATTTAATCCCTTACCTGTTCTTGAATGCTTGATTGGTTTTAACATTGCTCCATTTTCTTTGGATTTTTAAACAATGCCTTTTCCTGGGTGATGATAGCCATTGCAAAAGCTGGTTTCATAATTGTTGGATGTTTTTCATTCTTGGATCCTGGATATCAAATAAAATCTTTAGAGATAATATCTGAGCCTGCTATGGTTTACTGTCTTTTAAAACTTTACCCTTATTTGGGGATTAAATAATGTGTGTGTTCTATCACAGACACCTATTCTAAAATTGTCTATCAGTAAGATGGACTGCATTGCCTTTTCCTTTTCCATAGAGTATTGAATTTAATTGGGTTATAATTCCTGCTATCTAGTAGCTCACCAACAATGGAGCTGTCAGAGCTTACTCATATACTCCATGGGAAGTTTATGTGTCTGAGGCAAATGCTGGCAGGTGAAGCAGGCATTCCATGAAACCAGGCCTGGGTGGAAAGGAGGCACTCTTGTGTGCAGAGTCTGGTGCCGCTGGGCCCACACACCTGGGAGCACTCCCTGGCTGCCCACACCCTGTTCCTTTCAAGAATTTGGGTTGTGTTTTCTTCTTTCTTGACAATTAGTATAAGGGCAGTAGCTAAGAGTTTGGATTTATTTTTTTTTTGATGGAGTTTTGCTCTTGTTGCCCAGGCTGGATGGAGCATGATCTTGGCTCACTGCAACCTCCACCTCCTGGGTTCAAGCAATTCTCCTGCCTCAGCCTCCCGAGTAGCTGGGATAACAGGCATGTGCCACCACGCCTGGCTAATTTTGTATTTTTAGTGGAGACGAGGTTTCACTATGTTGGCCAGGATGGTCTCGAACTCCTGACTTCAGGTGATCCACCCACTTCGGCCTTCCAAAGTGCTCGGATTACAGGCATGAGCCACCATACCCGGCCAAAAGTTTGAATTTTGATTCAGTCATGACTTTGCCACTTAATCTGAGTCTCCAGGTAGGTCATGTCCCGCAATTTTCTCATCTGCAGGCTGGGAATAATGACAGGCTATATTCCAATAAGTTTTCATTGAAGGTTAAATAATATGACAGAGATCTGGCATATGTAAATCCTCAATAAGTGGCAGCCATTTTTGTTTTTATTGCTTTCGTTATTCATTGAGTTTCAGATACTGAAATTAACAATGCGTATTATCCACCTGTTCCTCTGCTGCTTGGATTCCAGACCAAATTTGCCACCTTTTTTGTAACTTCTAAGATTCACTTTGTACTCTTCTGTTTTTTTTTATTTACTCAATAAGTATTTATTGTGAATCTACTGTGTGCTAGTCACCAGTTTAATAATACTCTGTTCCCATCTCTTTGCCTAGTGCACATATATAAGGAATTCTATGAAACTATAACCATACTGACAGATTTCTTGTATAGTCCAGATGATGATCCCACCATTTTAAAAGTACACTTCAAAATGCTCAAAGAGTAAGCTTCAAATGTCTCACCACAGAAAATAAGTGACATTATGAATACGTAAATTGACTTGATTTAACATTCCACATCATGTACATATATCAGAACTTCACTTTGTACCCAATACATGTGTACAATGATGATTTTTCAATTAAAAATAATATTAATGAAAAAGTTGCATGACAGTGGAAAAAATGTTTTGAAGGATAGAGGTTTGCTTATGATCACATGATTCTGAGCAAATTAATCTGAAGCTTTTTTCACAATATAACTTTATTATGTAGAGTTGTTATAGAAATTAAACAACAATATAGAAATCAAAACAATTTTGTTAGTTCCTTTCTTTTACTCCTCAGATCAGTATGGTTAGGGTGTTTGCAAACTCTGTGTACATTGTGCTGTGGGTTAGCCACTTTAGAAACAGAGGGAGACAGTGAGGCCGGTGGAGCTTGGGAGAGCTAAATAGAGTCTGAGATGGAGAGATTGCATACACCAGTGTGTATTTGAAATAAAATGTAGTGAAAATTAATAAGCTTGAAATTACCTAGCTTAGGCTATTAAACAAAACATTTTAATAAAGAAAACTAAGTCATTTAGGTTTCCAGAGAATAGTAACTGTCACTAATAAAATTAATGTTTATTTAGGAAAAACTTGTATCAGTTTCTGCAATTGAATCAATCAACATCCAATGAGGAAACAGAAACCACATAGTAATTTGGAAAGGAAAATCAATATAAATAATATTAAATGTTATATGGGGTTAACAATAAAGGGGTACCTGAAGAAAATATTTGGGCTCTGGGAGAGTCCCCAAGGAAGAAACAAACTTGAAAAGGGGCCCCACTCCCCAAGACTGGGCCTCTGACTCATTGGAGGTGTGGTTGCAGCTCACCAGCTTGAGAGGAGGTTCTCTGGGTTGCCCCGGGCAGAAGCTGGTAGGAGGTGACATGGGGCTGGAACAGGCCAGCTGGGAGCTCCTTCTGGGGTGCAGGTGGGCACACAAGCACCACGTAAGGAGGGCACGCAGGAGCACCCTCCAGGGAACAGGCAGGCTGAGGATGAGGAAGGATGAATGTCAAAGCAAGGCAGCTTTGGGTCTAACTCTGAGCTCAGAACTGTGGCCAAGGTTTGTTTTCTGGGTCAGTTCTGGATGAATAGCTTCATGGGATCCTGCCACATATCAAATTTAGCTACCCAACCATCTGAAATGAAACAGTAGAGGAAAAACAGGATAATGAAAATTCTTATTTAGCAATGTATAAAGAACATGCAACTTAGCTCAGCATGTGTATCATGCTTTATTTGGGCCAGGGATCGCTAAGAATATTCATTTTTAAACTTATTTTTTTGGCAGAGAAATGTTTCTGGCTCAGCAAATATAATTACAATAAGGTTTGAATTCCTGTTTGCCAGGATTGGAAAACGATACAATTTCTAAAGCTCTAATCAGTTGTCTATCCATTTTATCTCGGGAACAGAGCTCTATTAGCTATTCTATTAGTTAGCTATTCTCACAAATATGCTGCATAACAAACCACCCCCAAACTCAATGGCTTATGGCAACAACCATTGATTTCTTGCTCGCACATCAGCAGGTTGCTTGGAGTTAAGCTGATTAAGTCAGGGCTGGGCTTGGCTCCAGGCTGCAGGTGGGTTTCAAGTCAGCTTCATGTAGCTGTTCCCGTGCCGTGCTGCTTAGCATGTGCTCTCCTTGGGGCAATGGCAGAAGCACAAGGGACAGGCATTTCATGAGCATTTCAAGCCCCTGCTTGGGTGAAGTCTGTTAATGCTCATTGGCCAACATCAATGGGGAGAGAAGTATGCTTCTGTCATGGAGGTTAAAGAGAATAGAGTGAATCTTTGATAGACCATAATCCAATCTCCCACAGCAAGGAGAGTATACAAACCACATCTTAAGTCTGGATCGGCCTGGGATTTTTCTGCCCCTTGACAGCAGCAGCTGCCTTGCCCTTTGCCCAAGGGAGTCCACTCTGCTGCTTCCTGAGTGTCCTCATTCCTGGTCACTGCACGATTGTCCTTAAATGGTGTTAGCTATTTGGACATGGGCTAAATGCTACTCCCCATGCATGTTTGCTCACCTGTTCCATTTCTGTGTCTAGGCAGGTTGGCTGAGCCTGTGGCTTCTCTCTAGAGCTTCCACTGCATCTTACTGAATTTCTTAGGAAGTAGTTGACACAATTGACTACACTGATTTCTGCAAGGTCCCCTAAATCATTTCAGAATGCATGGGGATTGACTCCCAAGAGACAAAAGGGAAGAACTTAATGCACAGTGCACTAAGCAGCAAAGTAGTTTTGCCTCCTTGAGCCTATTCAAGGTTCTCTGTCACACCTTGAATCAGCCAAGATCAAATTTTAGTGTTCGTCACTTGTAAATGTAGTAGACACAAAACCTGGAATTGTGTCTTTATTTGGAAATAGGGTCTTTGTAGATGTAATGAAGTTAAGATGAAGTCATATCGGATTAGGGTGGGCCCCAAATGAAATGATTGGTGTCCTTACAAGGAGAGGGAGATTTGGAGACACAGAAAGACAGAGAGACACGGAGAGGGTGGAAGGCCATGCAGTGATGAAGGGAGAGATTGGAGTGATGCAGCTGCGAGCCGAGAATTGCTGGCAACCACCTGAAGCCAGGAAGACGCAGGAAGGATTCCCCGCTGGAGCCTTCAGGGGGAGCATGGCCCTGCTGTCACCTGACTTCAGGCTTTGATCTTCTGGAATTGTGAGCCAATAAATTTCTGTTTACATGCCACCTAGTTTATGATAATATGTTGTGGCAGCTCTGGGAAAACATAACACAACACCTCCGATGTCTATTTTAGTCAGAATTCTTTGGTTGCAATTAGCAAATACTAAGAAAAAAAGTGGATTGATCTTAGGTCATTTGAAACTGGCTTTAATGTGTGAAGTTAGGAACATGGGTGCTGTTGGGACTCTCTTATCTTTCATTTATGATTCTCTCTTGTGCTGGCTTTATTCTCCCAGGTCAGCTTCTTCATAAGGCTGATGCCATAGCAGCTGAAGTGTTGAGGCTTTTTGATGAGAGAAAAAAGGCTTTTCTGTGTAATTCTAAGATTAAGTCCCAGGTAAGGGTTCTAGTTCGCCCCTGCTCATCTGGATGGACCACTGAGGTTTGGTGGACAGGCTGTATTGGTGGTCCACCTAGCATCAGTCCTCTGACTGTTGAACAGTGACAAAGGCCATGAAAGAGAAAGGGACAAGGAGTGTAACAAGAACAAGTGCTAACAGGATCATGGAAACTGTTCGGCCACTGCTGTTCATCCACCACCACACTGATGGACTGAAGCAAGAAACCAGAAATCAATGGAAAATATAACAAGAAAGGTTATTTAGAAATTGGTTTCAGAAGAGGGAGGTCATGTGGGTTGAATAGTGTCCCTCCAAAGCTCCTGTTCAGCTGGAAGCTCAGCTTGGGACCTTATTGAGAAATAGGGTTTTTGCCAGAAAAATCAAGTTAAGATGAGCTCATCCTGGATCAGTGTGGGCCCTCCTGCAATCACTCCTGTCTTCATAGGAAGAGACACAGAGATACAAAGGGAAAAGCATGATGGACCACAGCTCAGAGACTGCACTAGTGCAGCTGTAGGCCAAGGATTGCTGGGAAGCACCAGGAGAGAGGCAGGGAACAGAGCCACCCTCCGAACCTCCAGGAAGAAGCCAGCACTGCCAAAGCCTTGATTTTGGACTTCTGGCTCTAGAACTTGTGAGTTAATACATTTTTGTTGTCTGGGGCCTCCAGTTTGTGGTACTTTGGCGGCACCAGCATGCTAAAACAGATGTGGGACTCAATCCTACCTTAAGTACTATTGAACTGCAAAATGAAAGCTTTAGAAAACACAAGAGAGCTGAAATTATTTAATAAGAAGTGTAGTTATATGTATCACTAGAGGAAAACATCCTTTCTTTTCTAAAAGAAAAATTAGATTTCTTATTGAAGCAGGGAGAAGATTTGCCTACAATTCTCATTATGATTAAAGATACCAATTTATCATTGATAATACTGATTATAAAACAGAATTACATTAGGGGATGAGAGTGTGAATACCACCAGGACATTAAATAAAATATTTGAGGAATGAGGTAATTGTCCCAGACTTGTTGGATTCAATCAAGGGTTTTAAGGCTGCTCTATTCCATTTCCTTTTACCATAATATCATATATACACTACCATAGGGAGAGACGCAGCGTAGCTTACATAATGAAATGACTTTACAGCTAATTTGATTCTGCATTTGAAAACCAAACAATTCTCAACATTTATGCTTGTTCATCTTCAGCACAGTTGTTGCGTGACTAAGTTACTTATGAGGAGGTCCGGAGTTCATGTTTAGGACAAGTTCTACTAATTCTGGTTCATACAAAACTTTCCAACCTCTGAGCTTTGTTTGTTTGTTGTTTACTTTGTGTTTGTTTTATCTTTAAAAACTGTAACTTTTTTTTTTTTTTTTTTTTGAGACGGAGTCTCGCTCTGTCGCCCAGGCTGGACTGCGGACTGCAGTGGCGCAATCTCGGTTCACTGCAAGCTCCGCTTCCCGGGTTCATGCCATTCTCCTGCCTCAGCCTCCCGAGTAGCTGGGACTACAGGCGCCCGCCACCGCGCCCGGCTAATTTTTTGTATTTTTAGTAGAGACGGGGTTTCACCTTGTTAGCCAGGATGGTCTCGATCTCCTGACCTCATGATCCACTCGCCTCGGCCTCCCAAAGTGCTGGGATTACAGGCGTGAGCCACCGCGCCCGGCCAAAACTGTAACTTTTATACTATCTTTCATACTATCATGAAACAAGCAGAGCCTTGATTTACATTTTGCATTATGCATGATTAACTCAATCTACTTTTGATAGTCCCCACTTTGGGAAGGTGAGGGTGCATAGTCCATACGTCCCCACTTGCTCTTTCCCCTCATAATGGTGACTTTTATCTGTTAACCTGACTGGGCTACGGAATGCCCACACAGCTGGCCAAACACTCTTTCTGGGTGTGTCTGTGAGTGTGATTTGGAAGAGATGAGCATTTGAATTGGTGGACTCGGTAAAGAAGATCACCCTCACGAATGTGGGCAGATATCATCCGAACCACTGAGGGCCCAAGTAGAACAAAAAGGCGGAGAAAGGGGAATCCCTTGTTGGTATTTGGCCTGGGACATCTCTCTTCTCCTGCCCTCTGACAGCAGTGCTCTAATTCTCAGGCCTTTGGACTCAGATTTAATTGCACTGTGGGCTTTCCTGATTTTCCAGCTTTCAGTTGGCAGATTATGGAACTTCGCAGCCTCCAGAATCCCGTGAACTGATTCCTGTATATATACATATGTACACATACAAATATTTGTGTATTTATCTCTGGGACCCGATATACATCTATATCTCCTCTATTGGGTCCCTTTCTTTAGAGAACCCTAATACACTCCTATATTGATGGTCTGACATCTGTCACACATAAGAGGAAATGCTCTTTTGGGATAATTATTCATAATATACAAGTTAGAGAATCATTTATGTTTCTTAGATATTTTCATATGTGTAGAGCTGCTTTATCAATTTGCAGCCCTGGTGGGGAGCCCAGAGCAGAGCCCCGGGCTGGCAGAGCTGGGATCGGGGTACAGATGGGCTTGCAGGAGCCTGGCCACTGGCACCGCTGCTGGGTCTCAGCAGTACCATGCCCTGTTCCCTCAAAGCCACATTGTCTTTTGCAGAGGTTGCCTCCAAAGAAGGTATTTTCTTATGAAGTTTTATGCCTTTGTAAAAGTTGTAAAATATACATGATAGAATTTACCATTATTATTTATTTATTTATTTTGAGACAGAGTCTCTGTCGCCCAGGCTGGAGTGCAGTGGTGCAATCTCAGCTCACTGCAACCTCCACCTCCCGGGTTCACGCCATTCTCCTGCCTCAGCCTCCTGCGTAGCTGGGACTACAGCCACACGCCACCACACCCAGCTAATTTTTGTGTTTTTAGTAGAGACGGGGTTTCACCCTGTTGGCCAGGATGGTCTCCATCTCTTGACCTCGTGATCCACCCGCCTCGGCCTCCCAAAGTGCTGAGATTACAGGCGTGAGCCACCGCGCCTGGCCAGAAATAATTTGTTTCTTTATCACTGAGGACCATCTCAAGTGACAGGGCTCCAAGCTTTTGCTCATGTTCCGCTGCCTTGGAATCCAAGGGCAACTGCGGCCATGGTAGCCTATTTTCATCAAAGTCAAATGGCATCTTGTTGACAGAGGTGAGGGCCTGCAAAGTCCTACTACACTCAGGACAGTCAGTCCCCTGCTACAAAAAAATTATCAGGTACAAAATATCAATAATACTGAGCTAGAGAAACTGAGTTCTAAGTGAAATGGACAAACCTTTAATAGTAGTGACCTGGCCTGAAACTTTAATGTTTCTTTATTGTTTTAAACTTTCATTTGGTTGACTATAGGAGCAGCAAACTGTTTTGCCATTTATTTCTGATGCTTTAATTGTACAATGTTCCCCGAAATGTTTACACTTTAATTCTTGCCAAATTTGTTGTAGCCAACTTTAACCGTGGAATGACATATTTAGTCCCTCAACACTGTCACTTGAATGACACATGGCAATGGGTCAGCCAATTCTTGGAGCAGCACCTGGAGACCAGGGCATTTCCTGTTGCAAACAGTTTCCTACTGACCTTTGTGGGAAAGAAGAAAGAAAACCCAAGCCGGGCACGGTGGCTCACACCTGTAATCCCAGCACTTTGGGAGGCTGAGGTGGGCGGATCACCTGAGGTCAGGAGTTTGAGACCAGCCTGACCAACATGGTGAAACCCCGTCTCTATTAAAATACAAAAATTAACCGGGCGTAGTGGCAGGCGCTTGTAATCTCAGCTACTTGGGAGGCTGAGGCGGAAGAATCGCTTGAAACCAGGAGGCAGAGGTTGTGGTGAGCCGAGATCGCGCCATTGCACTCCAGCCTGGGCGACAAGAGCAAGACTCCATGTCAAAAAAAAAAAAAAAAAGAAAAGAAAAGAAAACCGAGGCTTGGATTTTTAAATCTTCAATTGTGAGTGAAATTTGCATCATTACTCTGTTATAGTTCCACTTACGATTTTTAGAATAAATAAAAACAACATAAAGTGTTTTGAGAAACATAAAAATATTACAGACATATACACAGATGCAGTGATGCAAATGTAAAGATGATAAAGTCCAATCGTCAGAAAAGTCGTAAGTGGAATTAAGGCAGGACACAAGCAAGATTCACTGGTCCCTGAACAGCAGGGAGCGATAGAGGTGTCTGAATACCTTTGGGAGTCCACATCCCCGGGGTGTGGGGGACAGGCAGGCCCTTCATCCCCCGGGCAGAGCTGAGCTTGTTCTTGTCACATTTAACCTCAGTCCTCTGATAAAGCCAGAACATACAATGTTTTTATCTGCCCATTCAGAATCATGTAAGTGCAGGTTTTTTTAAGTAATTATGAGGGTGAGTGAGACTTTCACTGTAATGTTTGGTAAGTAATGAGGTGATTCAGTTTTATGTCCATCTTGATTTGAGGAAGAGAGAATGGTGAGGGAAGCATTGGGACAGGTTCATCTGGAACCACAGACACTTAAATGTAGACAAGCCTTTAATGATGCCTGGTCCTCGCTTCCTCCCAAATGCAGGTATGTATTACATCTCTGTTGGCTGTTCCCCTAGAATCAGCTGTAGCTTTTCCAGTGGCCAGGAGCCCTGGTCCCCGTTACCGTTGCGAGGCTGTCTTGCATTATTGGGCACTTTGAATGCTTAAAACTGGGCTTCTGGAAAAAGAGTCAGATTCACCTGGATCTGGATCTGGCAGGTGAATGTCACAGTCTCTAACGACCTCCTAATTCCTGTCTTCTCTCTTTCCTTCCTTTTTTTTTTTTTTGAGACGGAGTCTCCCTCTGTCGCCCAGGCTGGAGTGCAGTGGCACGATCTTGGCTCACTGCAAGCTCTGCCTCCCGGGTTCATGCCATTCTCCTGCCTTAGCCTCCCGAGTAGCTGGGACTACAGGTGCCCGCCACCACGCTCGGCTAATTTTTTCATATTTTTAGTAGAGATGGGGTTTCACCATGTTAGCCAGGATGGTCTCCATCTCCTGACTTCGTGATCCACCCACCTCGGCCTCCCAAAGCGCTGGGATTACAGGCGTGAGCCACCACGCCCGGCCTGTCTTTCCTTCTTTTAATCTTTCTACACATGAAAAGGCGTCAGTAGCCCCCACCATCCTGTATGTCACCTGGGACACCCTCAGTCTGCCTTTGTTAATGTCAGAGCCAGGAACTCAGGGAAAAAACTATTTTCTGAGATACGTTTTTGTGCAGAGAGAAGAGACTTTCCATGTATATTGCCTTTCCTGTAATATTGTCTGTTCAGGTAGCTGTGTGCCATATCCAGGTAGCTGCATGCCCTCTTCCCTGTTTTAGCACTGGTTGATACTGAGTTTATGGTTAATTAGTAAATGTGTTAAAAAATTTTTTGAATTTTTTTTCAAAAATCAGCAAGCACAAATATGTACCTAGCATTTTCCAAGGATATGGGTATGGAAAGATAAAATGCCAGAACTTACAATTTAATTAGATATTAGTGCAAATGATCGATACACTGCAATGTGGTAACTGTGTAACAGATATTAATTGCACCATCCAAAATTCAGTATGTTAAAAATGGAACTCTTCAGGTTATCATAGGAATGTTGCTTGACTCTTATGCCCAGGGCAGACTGTGAAGCATCCATTCCCCTAAATCCAGGGCAGTCAGGTAAGGGGCCTTCTTATCTCAGCCACTTCTCCACTTCCAGCCCAGACTCTTGCTGTATTAACCTCTGTTTCTCCGACACAGCAGACCCGGAGACTTTTTAACCTCCTTTTTTTGTGACTCCTCCCCACTCTACCACAAGTAGGGTTGCAAGATTTAGAAAATGAATATTTAAGACACTCAGTTAAATTTGGATTTTAGATAAATGACAAATACTGTTAATTAGTATAAGTATGTCCCAAATATTGCATTGCATTTTATTGTATTTTTTTTTGTAGCAGCCGTACCCTCAAGAAGTGCACCTTCCAACCACCCTTATATGAGCCTGCTCCAAAACCTTGCCAGCCAGCACTTCCAGGTTACGACTATTGACCTCCAGCTCCCAGTTTCAGGTGAGAGGTGAGACCCAGTCCCACACTAGCATGTCATCTTCGTGGAATCCCAAAAGAGACAATATATAGAGGACAGGATTTTTTTTTTTTTTTTTTTTTTTTTTTGAGACGGAGTCTTGCTCTATCGCCCAGGCTGTACTGCAGTGGCGCGATTCTTGGCTCACTGCAAGCTCCACCTCCTGGGTTCACGCCATTCTCCTGCCTCAGTCTCCTGAGTAGCTGGGACTACAGGCGCCCGCCACCACACCCCGCTGATTTTTTGTATTTTTGGTAGAGACGGGGTTTCACCGTGTTAGCCAGGATGGTCTCTATCTCCTGACCTTGTGATCCGCCCGCCTCGGCCTCCCAAAGTGCTAGGATTACAGGTGTGAACACCGAGCCCGACCAAGGTACGGCCTTTTTAAAGCCCCCTCCCCTGCTTCACACCCAGCAATGCGCCTGCTTTAAGGGTGTCCTTGTTTTTGACAAACTCACAATCTCCGCCTCCACAGGTTTCGGGCGCCCCTGGTGGTTGCACTTTGCCAGTAGCTTATGGCAACCCACCAGGTTTGCTGATGCTGGACTGGCATTTACCTGTCAAAGTAATTTAAACCATAAGATTTATTTCCAAATAGGGGGGGAAACAGATAAAATGGGAGAAGGGCATGGTTGTGGGTTTGGACTAATCAGAACAAGATTCTAAATTTTTATAAAGAGAGGAGATGGTACTGCAGGAAAGCCCTGTGAGTCTCCCCTGCAAAATACCCACCTAGACCTGTTTTTGTTGGTGGTTGTGTGTATGCCTTCTGAAACAGTGTGTCTCCACAGCCAAACATGTGCTGGGATGCAGGAGATGCTTAGGCCACCTTGATCAGTGATGTCTGAGGCTTCCCCAGGCTGGTTAA
This sequence comes from Homo sapiens, assembly GCF_000001405.40. NCBI lineage: Eukaryota > Metazoa > Chordata > Mammalia > Primates > Hominidae > Homo > Homo sapiens. The sequence continues at coordinate 38,849,560 of NC_000009.12, forward strand.
TTCACAGCCTCCCTCCTTTATGCTCCCCCAGATTCTCTTTCATTTAGATTGTGTTGACTCAGCTCAGGGGATGAATATATGTATTTGCCAACATTATTGAGTTTGCTAATTAAAAAGCACTGAAAAAAAACTTACTTTCCCTCTGCGTTTGGTGACTTTTACCCCTAGAACTCTTCTTCTTAGGAAGCCTATGACAATGAAGATACTATAAAAACAAGGGTCTTTCCAATTCCCTTCTGCTGTGTCGTGGAGCGAACACTCAACCTGGAGTCTAACGTTCTTAATTTCTGTCCCAGATCTTTACTGGCTGGGTCTCTGCACACTTCTCAGTCTCCTAGAGTCTTCAGGTTACTCAATCAAAAAATGTTCTAAACTAGTTGTTATAAGAGTGCTGAACACATTGGCTGGTTCACTCACACAATAGATTTGCCTGACAACTGTTCACTAAACTGTATATCTTAGTGCAGTATGTGGATTTAACTGGTGGTGTTGCTGATGTGTCAAAATTTTGAGCACGTTCCAGCTTTTCATTGTTGTTATTTTCCATCTTCCATTACTTTGAAGGGAACATGTTACAGGACACAAAGAAATACTAAACTTGCAAAGCATATGAATAATAGCAAATGTGATTATTATTTATTTACTTATAAAAAGATGATAGATTACTTCATGTTCTGCTTAAAGCTACTTTTTGCATTTGGACCATTTTGAGTAGCCCATATTCTGCCAAAAATTATAATTATAAAATTAGTGAATCACGCAGAAAACATTGGAACTAAATTATTGACACGGCTTTGGAAAGGTGATATCCAATCTTATATGCAAATTCCAGTTGTCTTCCATTACTCTTGGGATCTTTCAGCAGATTTTTGCCATCTGTGTAGAAGCTGTTATTGAATTTTCTTGCTGAGATTATATAATTTCTATTCAGAGAATTAAATTCCCCATTACACTGTATTTTGTTTCTCTACAATATAAATGGAAAATTATGTAACAGGGAATTTATACATTTGTTTTGCACCTGTGGTATTTAAAATGTGGCAGGCATTTAGAGCTGTCATAAAGACCCAGGCCGAAAATGCTTTATTGCATATGATTATCCTTCTCTTACTACTTTTGAAAAGGAATGAAATACAGCCATTTTAATATTCATGTGTTCCATCCAAACAGAGGACTGAATAATAAAAGTGGATAACTTATATTTGCTTCCATTACAAATAGTTTTATCTTGCCATCTTCAGTCATTGTTTTCGGCTTGCATTGTGATACTATGAAGTGGATCAGAAAATATACTTCCTGAGTGCTACTTGTTAAACAAGTGTATGAAATGTGCTTGACCCTGCTCTGTGCAGTAGAGCATTTCAGACTAATCACAAACTACTGAGTGGAGTCAAAGCAGCAGCTCAGACTGCTTTCTCTGCAAAAACTGGAGATAAAGTGTTGGTTAGAATATAACGTTTAGCTTCTCATGTTGTAACTAATGGTAGGCCTGGTGGAGTGGTTAAAATATAATGAATCCAGTACCAATGGATTCCAGAAGTATTTGATACCCATCTAATATAACGCTGCTCAAAACATTTTGATGGGTCTCTAGGGTCTAATGAATAAACTTCCAACCTTAGTCTGGTCCTTGTTATCCGACTTATGCTGTTTCTTTCTTTCTTTTTTTTTTTTTTCAGAGAGTTCTCCCAGTCTCCTGGATCACACTGGTCTGAAAGCTGTTTGGTAGACAACCTTCGAGTCTTTCTGCCTTCATACTGTGGGTATACCGTTCTCCCAACTGAAAACCCGTTTATTTTCTTATCTGTCTACTCAAAGCCTAACCAACACCAAATGGCCTAGAAATGCCACGTACCTACCAGTTGCCTCTTTCCTCCTCCAGCCCTTGTGAATGTGAATTCACATCTCTGTTCTCTGTGTTCCTTGGCCACTTAGTACCATTCACAATATCTCTCATAGCTAGCTCTCTGCCTTAGGGCTGGCCCATGGGACTAAAATTCCTTGTGGTAGGTATTTTTTTTTCATATTTCTATTCTTATAGCATCTAGCATAGAACAAACAGCCTAGTATCTAGTGGGTATCCAATAACAACTTATGCAGGTGATTAGGCAAGAAAAAGAAATAAAGCCTATTCAAATTGGAAAGGTGGAAGTCAAATTGTCCCTATTTGCTGGCAACATAATCTTATATATAGAAGAACTTAAACACTCTGCCAAAAATCCATTAGATGTGATAAACAATTCAGTAAGGTTGTATTGTATGTATCAAAACATCCCTATGTAACCCATAGAGATGTATAATTATTTTATGTTGATCAAAAATAAAATAATAAAAGCTCTTAATAAAACAGTCATCTCTTTCAGAATTCATGGTTACCATTGCCTCTAGTATTATTTGTCAATTAAAAAATAAAATTTAAAAAGAATTTAAAGAGTTGAATGCAGTTTAAAAATGCATGCAGGCCGGGTGCGGTGGCTCACGCCTGTAATCCCAGCACTTTGGGAGGCTGAGGTGGGCGGATCGCGAGGTCAGGAGATCGCGACCATCCTGGCTAACATGGTGAAACCCCATCTCAACTAAAAATACAAAAAAATTAGCCAGGCATGGTCACAGGCGCCTGTAGTCCCAGCTACTCGGGAGGCTGAGGCAGGAGAATGGCATGAACCTGGGGGGCAGAGCTTGCAGTGAGAGGAGATCGCGCCACTGCACTCCAGCCTGGGCGACAGAGCGAGACTCCGTCTCAAAAAAAAAAAAGCATGCAAGTAAGGAAGGATCGTGTGAGGGTAAGGGTGCAAGTGCAGCTTTAAAGATATTAGTAAGAGAAAAGAAGAGGGCGTATAGTGCATGCTGTGACATGGGATGACAGCTTGCACTGAGAGAGCATGGATCTATATTTTTACTATATTATACTCTGTAATTGAACATTTCAGCTTATTTGGATTGTATTAAGCCACTTTATTATTTGAATGCTCACAATTTCCTTCTAATTTCAAACTTGTTTGTGGACCTGTAAAAAAATTCTTTTTTTAAATGCATCTGTTTAATGACACAGGACACTTTTCATTTATGCATGGTACACTGGTAGCCCAATCTGAAAGTACTATTTTCTACACTAAACTTTTTTTTTTTTTGAGCCAGAATCTTGCTCTGTTGCCAAGCTGGAGTGCAGTGGCGCAATCTCGGCTCACTGCAACCTCCACCTCCTTGGGTTCAAGAGATTCTTCTGCCACAGCCTCCCGAGTAGCTGGGACTACACACCTGCGCCACCACACCCAGCTAATTTTTGTAATTTTAGTAGAGACAGGGTTTCACCATGTTGGCCAGGATGGTCTCAATCTCTTGACCTCGTGACCTGCCCGCCTCAGCCTCCCAAAGTGCTAGGATTACAGGCGTGAGCCACTGCGCCTGGCCTAAACTATTTTTAAAAAGAAGTAACAGCATGCCTCTACTTATGTAAAAGCAAACATATGTTTTGACGGTGGTGAAGTTGGCTTCTGTTAACCCAACTTCTAAAGAACTAAATTGGCCAAAAGAGGAAAAAAAATGCTTATTTTATTAAATTTAAATTTAGTAAATGCTTATTTACTACATTGACTTGAGGATTTCAGACAAATAGCTTAGTTAGTGGTTAGATCAAGAGGCTTTATAGAAGAAAAGCTTAATGGTGCTTATTTATAAAATGAAAAAATTAGTAGTTCTTGGCCCTGCCTCATCTGTTTCTCAAATTTGTTGGTTATGAAAGATCTGACTGAAATCCACACCATCTGGCTTTTAGTGCTGGGATCCCAGCACAGGCCAGTTTAGCCATCTGCTTCTGTCTCTGACGCCACATACAACAGAGAGTCTTTTGTCATTGTTGTTGTTGTTGTTGTTGTTGTTGTTGTTTTGAGATGAAGTCTTGCTCTGTCTCCCAGGCTGGAGTGCAGTGGCACGATCTCGGCTCACTGCAAGCTCTGCCTCCTGAGTTCACGCCATTCTCCTGCCTCAGCCTCCTGAGTAGCTGGGACTGCAGGCGCCCGCCACCACGCCCGGCTAATTTTTTGTATTTTTAGTAGACACGGGGTTTCACCGTGTTAGCCAGGATGGTCTCGATCTCCTGACCTCGTGATCTACCCGCCTCGGCCTCCCAAAGTGCTCGGATCGCACCCAGCCCAGAGCTGCATTTTCATACACCATTGAAATCAGTGAACCCTCACCGTGTGATGAGAATGCTGGATGAAATTTTATGCTGAGTGAGGGAACAATCTGTTGAAAATAAAGGTTAGAAATGTGTAGTGTCCTATCGTGTCAGTGCCACAAAAAAGATGGGGAGTCCTGCCACATGGTGGAATGGTGCCACATAAGTCAGAGCAGGAAGCGAGTGCAGAAGGACCCAAGTGACTGGAGAGATGATTGCAAATGCAACAGAAATTCTAGGGTTCATCGGATGCTGTGGCTATGCTTAAGAAACCAGCCACTCAGCTAAGAAAACAACAGTGAGAAATAACACCGTTACAGTGGATTTATTTCTCTGCTTAAATGACTGCCTTGCAGAAGAGCTGTGATCTTTTGATATTTTTTGGCAAACAGCATCAAAAACAAGATATATGGAATCAACCAACAGATCATGTATCACTGTGCTTGTACTGGTAAAACTCCGTGTACTTACTCCACGTCTACCGTAGTAGATTGAGAGATGGTCATCCAAAGATCTCAGATTCTAATCCCTGGGACTGGGAAGTGTTCCCTTGTTTGGCAAAAGAGTCTTTGTAGACGTGATTAAGTTAGGGATCTTGGCATGAGGGGACGAACCTTCTTTATTCAGGTGGCCTTGAATTATGATCACAAGTGTCCTTATAAAAGAGAGGCAAAGGGAGAAAGCACAGAAAGGAGAGGAGGAACTTAAGTGCCCATGGAGGCAGAGACCGCAGTAATGCAGCCACAAGTTAGGGACGCCAACAGAAGATGGGAGGGGCAAAGAACCAGTCCACCCCCGTAGACTCCAGGAAAAGTGTGGTCTTGCCAACACATTGATTTTGGAATTCTGGCCTCTAGAACTATGAAAGTATAAATTTCTGTTATTTTAAGCAGCCCAGCTGTGATACTTTGTTAAGCAGCCACAGGGACTAATACCCCTACTATGTGCCACTCACTGTGCCAGTCCTGGGGAAGATTTAGGCTGGAAAAGCATGGCCTTTGCAGCATTTTTCCCCCACCAGTGCTGAGACAATATGTTGAAAAGACTGGGAAAATGTTATAATGTATTCAAAATACCAGATGAGAGCTTTCTGTGTACCTGTCACTATGCTCAGCTCCAGAGATGGGATATGAACAAAATAGGCCCAATTCTCTTCCCTCTGTGCCGAACTTACTTTCTGTTAAGTACAAAATAGGGCTTAATGCTATGAAAATGAAGAGGAGTGACAACATTGATGTCAACCAGGAGGATCAGGGCAGATTTTAAATATGATGTGGCTGCAGCAAGAGTGTGTGCGCATGGGAACAGGCATTCCAAACGAAGGAATCACTGCTAATACAGCTGCAAAGTCTGCAGTGCCTTTGGGAAGCCTTGACAAGATGAACGTGTCAGAGAGCAGGCATTCAGTCTTTAACACAGCCTTTCCACATCGGCCTATAAAATTGTATTATGATGTTTCTTCATTTGGAAAACTAGTTTTAAAGGTTGCATTTTGATGAGTTTGCAACATTCAATTTCATGGAATCCAAATCGCATGCCCTTTGGAAGAGGTGCCATATGTGAATGCACCCATAAAGTGCACGCATGCAGCGTTTGTTACGTGGTAGGATCTCATGCAATTTTAAATGACTCTCATGTTAAAAAATGCTTCTATTGGCAGGGGGTGGTGGCTTACACCTGTAATCCAAGCACTTTGGGAGGCCAAGGCAGGTGGATCACCTGAGGTCAGGAGTTTGAGACCAGCCTGGCCAACATGGTGAAACCCCGTCTCTACCAAAAATACAAAAATTAGCTGGGCATGGTGGTGGGCACCTGTAATCCCAGCTATTTGGGAGGCTGAGGCAAGAGAATGTCTTGAACCCAGTAGTTGGAGGTTGCAGTGAGCCAACTTCGTGCCATTGTACTCCAGCCTGAGCAACAAGAGCAAAACTCCATCTCAAAGAAAAAAAAATGCTTCTATCACTCTTAGCCTTGTTTTACTTCATACTCTGGTGGTGGGCAGGTTTGCTACCTTAAATACGTCCTAGAAGCTGAATCCAAATACTTTTTGAACAATTTTCTGACTTCCTTTAGAGAAATGTACTGTCAGAGTACTATGTATAATTTTTTAAATACAGCTACCCTGAAGACTTATAAAAGTCTGGTTGTTCAGGCAGTAATTTATTTACAAATTCATGAAAATGAAAACAGTTTATGCAAGCAACCAGCTCTGGGATGCCTCATCGTCCTTTGCAAAATTATCCAAATCATGATGAAATAGGCTTTATTTTTATGGATTAAACAGAGAAGAATGTCTAATGAATTGTCTAGAAATTGAAATACGCACCTTTTATGAATAGGGACATTTCATAAGACCATTCTGTATTGTGAGTTAGGAATTCAGATCAGTTGAAGCATTAAAAAAATCAAACCTTCTGCAGCTCATTAAAGCATAAACCTAATTTTTAGAATTTATCCGACTAATATAGTAAGACCTCCACCTGCTTAGAATAATATTAATACTTGGCCTCATTTACCTCCAAGAGGGGGATAGGCCCCTGACCAATCTTCCCATTTCACCGAGGACAGACACTTCCCTTGAATCAGGTGGAGGTTTTCCAGTCATATTTGCAACACTGTTTAATGCTCAATTGCCCTATTTCTTTCCTCTGTGAAGTGAATACAATAACTTAAATGAAGGTTGTTTGAAACTCCTACTATTGGGTAGGAGTTTGCAACCTGGTTACTATGATCAGAGCTATAATTTTTTTGTTTATTATAATTAGGTTTTTTGCAAGACTAAAATTGTGCTTCTTTTAAAGTGCTGAAGAATTTCCAGGCTTGTCAGCACTAATACGTATTCTAATTGCAAAAACAGACACGAATATCAACCCAGGTGCATAGACCTCATAGTGTCAATCAAATCTCATCAGAAACTACTTGTCTTGCAGGAGGAAGGGGATCCTAAAATCTTTTTTTTTTAAGGGAAATTTTTTATCAATTTGTATTCTTTATGTCCTTTCATATTGCCGTTTACCATAAATGAAAACCATGAGAGGAACTTTTAATAATAATACACATCTGATTATGCTTTTATGAATATACAGAACATTAAATTTCAAAAGGCTTTGCTTGAGTCCCAAATGCAATTTCTAAAACATTAACTAGCCTACTCAGAATCAGGTAGAAATGGTGCAAATGAGCTCTTTTTATCACAGGCATTATTTCTTGAATAAACTCTTTTTTGTTTCCTAAACTTCAAAAAAACTGTAATTTTATTTTCAACATTCATGAAGGATAAGTCAAATCCTGTCAGTGAGTGAGTCCAACGGTTTCCATGAAAGGAGGATGTGGTCACTTTCATGAAGAAGCCAACTGAGGAAGGCTTTTTCTTGGTTCAATCATTTGATGTAATGATTCAGATGAAAGCACGTAAGTTAGCCTTTCTTTATACCTGCTTCATAAAGTTTGAGACTGCTAAATTACCAAGATAGGACAGTAACATAAGATTATCTTCTTCATAGCATACATCACTATTTAAAATTATTTTATATATTTACTTATCTGTTATTTTCTGTCTTGCCCACTAGGATATATTGTCCATGAGATCTTGTCCTGTGAAGTCTTTCCTGGCACATAGTAAGTGCTCAATAATTGTTGCATAAAGGTGAATAAACCAATAAATGAAAGAACTTTTGCACATATTTGTATGTTACTTGTAACACATTTTGTAATTTGTCTGTTAATACTGCCTTCTCCCTTTTCTCTGACATCTTTGCAAAGGAAGTTATCTAGGGCAAAATAAATTGCAATATAAACTGTCATTAATTTGCACTAAGTCCTGTAAAACCTGTTTGCTTTTTTGTGTTTGGTCCATCAGCCAGCAGATCTTTTTTTTAATTTTATTTTTTATTTTATTTTATTTTTTTTTTGAGACGGAGTCTCGCTCTGTCGCCCAGGCTGGAGTGCAGTGGCCGGATCTCGATCTCGGCTCACTGCAAGCTCCGCCTCCCGGGTTCACGCCATTCTCCTGCCTCAGCCTCCCAAGTAGCTGGGACTACAGGCGCCCGCCACTACGCCCGGCTAATTTTTTGTATTTTTAGTAGAGACGGGGTTTCACCGTTTTAGCCGGGATGGTCTCGATTTCCTGACCTCGTGATCCGCCCGCCTCGGCCTCCCAAAGTGCTGGGATTACAGGCGTGAGCCACCGCGCCCGGCCCAGCCAGCAGATCTTAATGAAGAGAGCTAATTGCAGAGTTTTCTAATAACGGGTTTTTACCGTATAGTCAGACTCAGCCCCTTTTCCATGTTACATTTTCTGCTGAATATCTACATTACTGCCTTTAATAGGCAGTGCAAAGCCTTAATGAGATGATTTATTTTGAAGTGAGTTTTAAAAATTCCTGGGTATTTAGACTCTGGCTTATTTTTTGCCACTTAATTGGTAGGAGTGAGTAGACAGGTATTGCTAATGGTACTTTAAATGACTATCAGGATCTGAAGGATGAATTGTATTAATTATTCAAATTGGAAATATTTCTTTGAGATTTTAAAAATCATATTGAAAGTCAATGGTAGATTGAATCAATACGCAAATTTACTTTACATATTTTTCAGTTCAAGTCTAATAAATAATGTCCAACTCTTTTGGCATTGTGTACATTTATAGAGACATGTCAATGTCTTCATGTCTTTTATTATTACTTATTAAAGTAAAGCTGATGGTGATATCAAAATGTCACCTATGTTTGTTTGTTTTTTTCTCTTGGTATACATTTGAAGCCTTTCTGGCCAACATCCCTCAATGTACCTATTTAACCTTCCAGGTATTGCTCAGTCAGTTACAAATATCTGGCCTTTCTTTTCAGGCTTTATATTCTAAAATACTTTTCTAGTGAGAAGCAAAAAAAAAAAAGAACAAAAAACCTCACTAATTCACTGTGGTATTTAGTTGGCATAGAACAAACAACCAAATTACCTGGCATGTGGCAGCTGGTTTATAAAAATGTAAAGTAGGTACTAGACATCATTTGAAAGTTTAGGCACATATAAATTTTGTCTTTAGATTATACAATATTTTTCCATAGGTATATGGTATATACTGAACTTATTCACATGATTTATTCCTTGCTATAATACTTTTCATCTAATTTGGCTAACTGGAGGAGGAGAGTGCCTACTGTGAATGCCTACTGTGTTCTGTGTTCTAGGCTAGAAACTTTGCATTCATTATTGAACACTCATATCAACTTTATGTGAAGGCAGCATTATTTACTGAAGAAATTAAGGCTCAGGGAATTTCAATTTCTCCATATTCCATACTGAGTAGTCAAGCTGGGATTGCTAGTCTGCTATTTGTCTGATTCTAAAGTCAGTGTTCTTTTTTAACACAGTCAATTGGAAAAACTCTCATTAACACAGAGATTTTTCTCTCCATCTTTTAAAGTTTTTACTCCACCACTGCTCACTATGAACTTATTATATTGGAGTGGATGCAAAATAAAGTGCCAGAAATGACTTGTAGAACATGGTCTCCTTGCTTTCCTCCTTATAATGAATAAGTGATGGGATTAAATGGATTCGGTACTTTTGGGCCCAGAGGAAGTATCTGGGAATTTGTTAAGAAATAAACAGAAAGTAGAGAGTGATGTCAGTAAAGTGATAGACTAGGAAGCCCCAGGCTTCATTCACTCACAGATAAACTGACTTGACAACAATAAGCCTTTATGAGAACTCCAGAAAGTAGTTAAGAAATCATTGCACCTCAGGCAAGCTCAAAGCCAAGAACAGCCACATTATAATGAGTAAGAAAGGTTATTTTATTTCAACCTTAGTAGCTCCTCCAAGCTGGCACAACACAGCAAAATTAGGAGAAAAAGGCCAGCTCATGCCTTTTCCTTTGAGAGGGAAAGAGAAGAGTAGAACATATGTTTAATGTTCTAGCTTTTCAGGGGGCTGCTCAGGGACTGGTTTCCCTCTCACCTGGCTTGAAGCAGTGATGAGGAACCAGTATAGTATGGATGTCTTGGGACTGCTGAGAAGAAAAGGTTGCTCAGCAGTTTGATGCGGCCCCAGAGAACCTTATCACCATGAAAGAGCTGGTACAGCTTGGAGTGACTGGGAGAAAATGCCCAGCTCATGACTACTCGTTTGGAAGAAAAAGAGAAGAGTGGAACATGCATCCAGCAATTCAGTGTATTTTTTTTTTTTTTTTTTTTTTTTTTTTTGGTCAGGGGGCTGCCCTACAAACAGAGTTCTGTCTTACCTGACTTGGAGCATTGACAGAACCTGCATGCTTTGGATGCCTATGGTCACAGAAAACAATAGGGTATTCAGCAGCTTGCATATTACATCAGAGAATTTCTAGTACTGCAGACAGACATCAGTGTCAGCAAGAGATTAGAAGCTCCTGAAAAAGAAACTGCAAATCTCTCTAACTGGGAAATCAGATACATAAGCTCAGAAAAGATGTATCCCCAGAAAAGATTTTGGAGGACCCCAGAATCTCTAACCAGGCCGATTGGTGAAGCTCTTCCCTTGTATGAAGGCAGTTTATGAAGATTGGAAGAGGTGGCTGTATATTTAAATGCACACATCACAGCAAAAAATAACAAGACACATGGAAAAACATAGAAACATGACTCAATCAAAGGAATAAAATAAACTTCCAGAAAAAATAATCCTAAAAATGGATATCTGTGAATTACTTGACAAAGAATTCAAAATAATCACCTTAAAGAAGCTCAATGCATTACAAGAGAACACAGAAATATAACTAAACAAAGAGGAAGGCTGGGCACGGTGGCTTACACCTGTAATCCCATCACTTTGGGAGACTGAAGTGGGTGGATCACCTGAGGTCAGGAGTTTGAGATCAGCCTGACCAACATGATGAAACCCCGTCTCTACTAAAAATACAAAAATTAGCTGGGCGTGGTGGCAGGTGCCTGTAGTCCTCGCTACTCAAGAGACTGAGGCAGGGAAATAGCTTGAACTCAGGAGGTGGAGGTTGGAGGTTGCAGTGAGCCAAGATCACGCCATTACATTCCAGCCTAGGCAACAAGAGCAAAACTCCATCTAAAAAAAAAAAAAAACAAAAAAACAAAAAAACAGCCAGGCATGGTGGCTCACACGTGTAATCCCAGAACTTTGGGAGGCCGAGGCAGGTGGATCATGAGGTCAGGAGATCGGGACCATCCTGGCTAACATGGTGAAACCCTGTCTCTACTAAAAAATACAAAAAATTAGCTGGACATGGTGGCAGGCACCTGTAGTCCCAGCTACTCAGGAGGCTGAGGCAGGAGAATGGCGTGAACTCGGGAGGCGGAGTTTTCAGTGAGCCAAGATCATGCCACTGCATTCCAGCCTGGGCGACAGAGCCAGACTCCATCTCAAAATAACAAAAAACAAACAAACAAAAAGAACAAATGGAAAACAATGCACAAACTAATGTAGAATATCAACAGAGACAGAAACCAGAATAAAGGCCAAACAGAAGTTATGGAGCTGAATAATGCAATAACAGAATTGAAATATTCACTATAAGCATTTAACAGCAGATGTGATCAATCAGAAGAAGGAATCAGTGAACTCAAAGAAAGGTCATTTGAAGTTATTGAATTAGAGGATCAAATAGAAAAGAGAATGATGGAAAATAAAGAAAGTCTGTGGGATTTATGTGGTACCACTGAGTGGACCAATACAGGCATTATGAGAGTTCCAGAAGGAGAAGGGAGCAAGAAAGGGAAGAGAGTTTATTTGAAGAAATAATGGCTTAAAACCACTCAACTGAGAAAGAAAATGGATATCCAAATTCAGGAATCACAAAAGACTCCAATTAAGTTGAACTCAGAGTCTCACACCAAGACACACAATAACCAACTGGTCAAAAGCAAAAGTCAAAGAGAGATTCTTGAAAACATCAAGAGAAAACAGACTCATCATGTACAAGGGAGTTTCCATAAGATTATCAGTGGATTTCTCACCAGAAACATTACAGGTCAGAAGGGAGTGGGATGATATATTCAAAGTATTGAAAGAAAAAAAAATCTTGCCTAGCAAAAATACTACATCTTGTAAAACTATCCTTCAAAAATAAACAGACCTTCCCAAATAAACAAAAGCTGAGGGACTTCATCACCACTAGATTAGGCTTAGAAGAATAGCTAAAGGGAGTTTCAAAATGAAATGAAAAGATTAGCTAGCAACATGAAATCATATGAAAATATAAAGCTCTTTGCTGAAGGTAAATATTTAAGCAAACACAGAATCCTCTAATACTATGATGGTGGTGCATAAATAATTTTTAATTCTAGTGTAGTTAAAAATATAAAAGCATGAAAATAACTAAACTATAAATCTATATACATTGATACATAAAGTTAAAAATGTAATTGATAGCACCAAGAACATAAAGTGTGTGTAGGGTAACATGTAAAGAAGTAAAGTTTTGTGTGTGATTGAAGTTAAGTTCATAATTATAAGTTCATGTAAGTTCATCAAGTTCACTATAAGATGTTTAATGTAATCTCTATGGTAACTACAAATAAAATATCTTAAAAAGATGTACAAAAATGAGATAGAAATACAAACATGTCACTGAAAAAAATCACAAGAGAAGACAGCAGGAGATTGTAAAATTTCTTTCCTATCAGTAATTACTTTAAATGTAATTGAATTAAACACTCCAATCAAAAGACACAGAATGGCTGAATGGATTGAAAAAGAAACAAGATCCAACCGTATGCTGTCTACAAAAGACTCACTTTAGCTCTAAGGACACACACAGAATGAATGTGAAAAAATGGAAATAGATATTCCATACAAATGGTAACCAAAAGAGAGCAGAGGTTGTGATGCTTATATCAGATGAAATAGACTATAATTCTAAAACTTTTCACAAGGGACAAGGAAAAACAATACATGACAACAGGATCAATAAAATAAGATACAATTATAAATATTCACCTAACATCAGAACACAGACATATATGAAGCAAACAATGGTAGAATTGAATAGACAGGAACACAATAATATTAGAAGATTTCAATACCTTATTTTCGATAATGAATATATCAACCAGACAGAGGATTAATATGAACACAGAGGACTTGAACAACACTATAGACCAATTAGACCTAACAGACACCTGCGGAACACTCCACACAACAGCAGACCATACATTCTTCTCAAGTGCACATAGAACATATTCCATGTCCATGGAACAAATTTAAGGATATTGAAATCAGACCAAGCAAGTATCTTTTCTGACAACAATGGAATGGAATGAAACTAGAAATAAACAGCAGAAGGAAAATCGAAAAATTCAAAATTAGGTGGAAATTAAACAACACACTCTTTTTTTTTGAGACAAAGTCTCGCTCTGTCACCCAGGCTGGAGTGCAGTGGCGCAATCTCGGCTCACTGCAAGCTCCGCCTCCCGGATTCACGCCATTCTCCTGCCTCAGCCTCCCGAGTTGCTGGGACTACAGGCGCCTGCCACCACGTCCCACTAATTTTTTGTATTTTCAGTAGAGACGGGATTTCACCATGTTAGCCAGGATGGTCTCGATCTCCTGACCTCATGATCCACCCGCCTCAGCCTCCCAAAGTGCTGGGATTACAGGTGTGAGCTACCGCGCCCAGCCAAACAACACACTCTTAAACAACTGAAGTCAAAGGAGAAGTCACAAGGGAAATTATAAAATTATCCTGAGGATAATGAAAATAAATGCACAACATATCAAAACTTATGGGATGCAACAAAAGCAGTACTAAGAGGAAAGTTTATAACGACAGATGCTTACATTAAAGAAGAAAGATCTCCAGTTAACAACCTAGCTTTACACCTCAAGGACCTATAAAAAAGAAAAAAATTGGCCAGGCACTGTGGCTCATGCCTGTAATCCCAGCACTTTGGGAGGCCGAGGTGGGTGGATCACAAGGTCAAGAGATCGAGACCACCCTGGCTAACACGATGAAACTCCATCTCTACTAAAAATACAAAAAAATTAGCCAGGCGTGGTGGCGGGTGCCTGTAGTCCCAGCTACTCAGGAGGCTGAGGCAGGAGAATGACTTGAACCCGGCAGGCAGACCTTGTAGTGAGCCGAGATTGTGCCACTGCACTCCAGCCTGGGCGACAGAGTGAGACTCTGTCTCCAAAAAAAAAGAAAAAGAAAAAAAGAAAATCTAAAGCTAGCAGAAGAATGAACATAATAAAAATTAGGGCAGAACTAAATAAAATATAAAATAGAGAACGGAAAAATAATAGAAAAAAACTTTTAAATGCGTTTTTTTAAAAATCCACAAAATTGACAAACCCTTAGCTAGACTAAGAAAAAAGAGAGAAAACACAAATAACAAAGATCAGAAATGAAAGGGAAAACATTACAACTGATACTACAGAAATAAAAAGAATCATAAGAAATTACTATGAACACTTGGGCTGGGTGCGGTAGCTCACTCCTGTAATCCCAGCATTTTGGGAGGCTGAGGCAGGAGGATCACGAGGTCAGGAGATCAAGACCATCCTGGCTAACACAGTGAAACCTCGTCTCTACTAAAAATACAAAAAATTAGCCAGGAGTCGTGGCGGGCGCCTGTAGTCCCAGCTACTCGGCAGGCTGAGGCAGGAGAATGGCGTGCACCCGGGAGGCAGAGCTTGCAGTGAGCCGAGATCGCACCACTGCAGTCCAGCCTGGGTGACAGAGCGAGACTCCTTCTCAAAAAAAAGAAAAAGGAAAAAGAAATTACTATGAACACTTATGGGCAAAAAATTGAATAATATATAAGAAATGGAAAATTTCTAGAAGAATACAGCCTGTCAAGACTGACAATCTGACCAGACCTGTAACAAATAAGGAGAATGAAGCAGTATTCAAAAATCTTTCAATAAAGAAAATACCAGGGCCTGATAGCTTCACTGGAGAATTTTACCAAATATTTAAAGAATTTTTAATCTTTCTCAAATTCTTCCAAAAAGTTGAAAGGAAAGGAATATTTCTGATTCGTTTTATGAGGCCAACATTATCCTGATATCAAAATCAGAGAAAGATACAAGGAAAGAAAACTACAAGCCAATATCTCTGATGAGTATTAATGGAAAAATACTTAAAAAAATACTAGCAAGCCAAATTCAACTATATGTTAAAAGGATAATATGTGATGGCCAAATGGGATTTATTTCTGGAATGCAAGGATAATTTGCATATGAAAATCAATTAATGTAAGATATCACATTAACAACATTAAGGACAAAAAATATATGATCATCTCAATTGGTACAGAAAAAGAATTTAACATAATTAAACACACTTGCATCATAAAACACTCAACAAACTAGAAAGAGAAAGAAATTATTTTAACATAGTAAAGGCCATATATGACAAGCCTACAGCTAATATTATATTCAGTAGTGAAAAACTGAATTCTTTCCCTTCTAAGATCAGGAGCCAGGCAAGAATGCCCACTGTTTAAAAAATTTTATAGATTTTTATTTTTTAAAAAGATTATTTATTTTTCAATTGACAAAAATTATATATATTCATGGTGTACAACACAATGTTTTGAAAAATATACTGATTGTGGAATGGCTAAATCAAACTAATTAACATGTGCATTACCTCAAAAACTTATTTTTGGTGATGAGAACACTTAAAATTTACTTTCTTAGCAATTTTCAAGTATACAATACATTGTTATTAACTATACTCACCATGTTGTACAATATATCTCCTGTTTAACTGAAAAAAAAATGGGATAACATCAAAATAAAATGCTTCTGCACAGTGAAAGAAACAATCAGAGAGAGAAGAGGCACCCTATAGAATGGGAGAAAATATTTGCAAACCATGAAGATAAGAGGTTAATAAACAGAGTATATAAAAAGCACACAATTTAATAGCCAGAAAACAAATAACCCAATTAAAAAATAGGAGCAAAGGACGGGCCGGGCGTGGCGGCTCACGTCTGTAATCCCAGAACTTTGGGAGGCCGAGGAGGGCGGATCCCGATGTCAGGAGATTGAGACCATCTGGCTAACACGATGAAACCCCGTCTCTACTAAAAATACAAAAAATTAGCCAGGCATGGTGGCGGGCGCCTGTAGTCCCAGCTACTCAGGAGGCTGAGGCAGGAGAATGGCGTGAACCTGGGAGGCGGAGCTTGCAGTGAGCCAAGATTGCGCCACTGCACTCCAGCCTGGGCAACAGAGCAAGACTCCAAAAAAAAATCTCTCTCTCTATATATATAGATATATGTATATATCTATATCAATATCTATATCTATATATGTAGGAGCAAAGACCTAAACAGACATTTCTCAAAAAAAGACATATAAATGGCCTACAGGTATTTGAAAAAATCCTCAACATCACCCTAACCATTAATGAAATGCAAATTAAAACTACATTGAGATACCACCTCACATCAGTTAGAATGGCGATTATCAAAAAGATAAAAGGTAAGTGTTGGTGAGGATGCGGAAAAAAAGAATTCTGTTACATTGGTGAGAATTTTAGTACAGAAATTATGGAGACCAGTATGAAGAATTCTCAAAAAATTAAAAATAGAAATACCATATAATTCAGCAGTCCCACTTTTTGGTATATAGCCAAAGGAACTGAAATCAGGATCTCAAAAAGGTATGTGCACACCCATGTTCAGTGCAGCATGTTATTCACAATAGCCACGGTCTGGAATCAACCTAAGTGTCCATCATCAAATGACAGAATAAAGCAAATGTAACATATATACACAATGGGAATAGTAATTTAGTCTTGAAAAAAGAAGCAAATTCTGTCCAGTCAGGAAATCCTGTCATCTGGGATAATCTGGAGTACATTATACTAAGTGAAATAAGCCAGACACAGAAAGACAAACACCACATGATCTCACTTATATCTGGAACTTAAAAATGTCAAACTCATAGAGATAGAGAATAGAATGGTGGTTGCCAGGGATGGGGGCTGCAGGGATTGGGCAGATATTTGTCATATGATGCCCATTCTTGCCACTTCTATTCAACATAGTGTGGGAAGTCCTGTAAAGACCTAAATGTAAGACCCGAAAATACAAACCTTCTAAGAGAAAACACAGGGGAAAAACTTTATGGCATTGAACTTGGATATGATTTTATGGTAATTATACCAAAAGCACAGGCAACAAAAGCAAAAATAGACAAATTGGACCATATCAAACTTAAAAATGTTCTGCATGTCAAAGGAAACAATCAACATAGTGAAAAGGTAGCCTATGGAATGAGATAAAATGTTCGCAAACCATACATCTGTTAAGGGGTTAATAGCCAGAATATATAAAGAACTCCTACAATTCAACAACAAACAAAGAAGCAACCCAATTAAACAATGGGCAAAGAACTTGAATAAACATTTCTCAAAAAAGACATACAAAGAGCCAACAACCATATGAAAAGATGTTCAGCATTACTAACCATTCTGGAAGTGCAGGTGAATACTGCAATGAGATATCACCTCACACCTGTTAGGATGGCTACCATCAGGAAAATAGAAAATAACAACTATTGACAAGGTTGTGAAGAAATTGGAACCCTTTTGTACTGTTAACAGGAATGTAACATGGTGTGGTCACTATGGGAAGCAGTATGATGGAGAATTTTCATAACTTTCAGCAGTTCACTTCTGAGTATACATTTTAAAGAATTGAAAATATTATCTGAAAGAGGTATTTGCTCACCCATATTCATTGCAGCATTATTCCCAGTAGCCAAAAGGTGGAAGGAACCTAAATGCCCATTGATTAAGAAAATGTGGTATAAACATACAATGGAAAATTATTTAATCTTAAAAAAGAAAGAAATTCTTAAACACATGACAACATGAATGAACAAACCTTGAGGACAGACATTATGCTAAGTGAAATAAACCAGTCACAAAAAAGGCAAATACTGCATGATTCCACCTCTATGAGGTATCTAAATCAGTCAAACTTTTAGAAACAAAAAGTGGATCGGTGATTGCTGGGTGGAGAGGGAAAAGGGGGTTGTTTCGTAGGTACATAGTTTCAGTTTTACAAGAGATGAAAAGGTTCTGGAGAGTAACTGCACAACAACATACATTAGTAGTTAAGACTACTGTACTATACATTTAAAAATCATTAAGACGATAAACTTTGTCATGTGTTTTTCAATAAAAAAATAAACAGAAGGTTACAGCATCATCTGTAAACTACAAGATCATCAGCATATGTTATGTGTTGAATTTTGCCCTCCAAAGTGTTTGAAGTCCTAACCCTCATGATGTGTAAATATGACTTTCTTCGGAAATAGGATCTGTGCAGATGATCAAGTTAAGATGAGGTCATCAGAGTGATCTCTAATCCAATATGACTGTGTCCTCATAAGAAGGGGAAATCTGGGCCCAGAGACAGACATATATAGAGGGAATACAATGTGAAGAGATAGAGGAAAAACCATCTACAAGCCAAACAATGCCAAAGGCTGGGGGAGAGGCATGGAGTGGATTCTCCCTCAAAGCCTTCAGAAGGAACCAGCCCTCCGGCACTTTGAACTTCTGGTATCCAGCATTGTGAGGAAATACAGTTTTGTTATTAAGCCACCCATTTTGTGGTACTTTGTTAGTGAAGCCCCAGGAAACCAATACATCATGGGTTGGGGTTATCGGGCTTTAATAAATCACAGCCTCTTTCTTCAACGCCTGAGTTTGCAACCAAACAGCATAAGCCCAAACATGCTACAGACCACATCTTAGATAGAGGGTTAAACAACTACACATCTTCCCCTTTAACTCCATTGTTGAGCATTCCTCACTGGGTCTCTTCATAATACTTTTCTTGTAGAGTATATCTATACGACTTTTTACCAGTTTTTAAACAGGTATGAAACAAAGTTAAGCTTTTGCCTCAGGAACTGTGCTAATCTTACCCAAAGCTTTTAGAGCATTTTTAGAAATGAGAGTGTTTAAGGTAGATTGAATTACCATTTCTTTTGGTGGCAGTAGAAGCTTGCCATTTAATTGAGAAACTATATCTTAAATCACAAGTAAAGAAATTTGTGGCTTCCACTCTAGAGAAAAACTCCAGAGAAGAGCATAAATTATGAGCTAAAAGCTGGTATCGTTTAGAGAAGGCTCCAAAGATGTTTTATGGTAACACCAATCTGAGGAAGGAAGCTCTACTCTTGCCTGTGATAATTTACTTTTGTCTGATTTCATGAATCATCTCTTATGGAATGTGATTGGAAAATATATTTACATTACTATATTTGAAAAATGTGAGTCTACAAACTTAGTTCTCTCTAACCAGTTTCTTCATTGTTGCCAAAGACCCCGTGCAGAGCAATCACACAGAAAAAGGCTGTTTGGATTCACCAGTGCAGCCGCTGTGGAGGGGCCTTTCATTGGCACTGAAAATGCTTGTTTGGTGATGAATAACCTTTGTTATTATTATACTGCATGTTATTAAAATTTTTAACATAATTCCCTCTAAACTAATAGTAATTCAGACAATGCAGCCACTGGCAGACAGCTTCATTAGTCAATCTTCTTTCTTATAAATGGGAGAATTAAGAACTGCTATTACTGTCATTCTGTCTGCTGCTCATTATTGTTGTAGACTTATGCACGAGACTAATCATATTCTCGTTGAATGCATCATGCTTAGCTCTTGAACGTGTGTGACAGTGACAAGAGCCCACCGAGTGACAGGGCAGGGTTGGTGGAATTCTGTGTCTCCATATGCACATGCATGTGCGTTCCTTCTTACACTCAGGCACACATAGGCTATTTTCCAGGGTTTTATTTTATTAATTCCTTAGGAATCTCAGAAAGTGAACTTCAGAGGCTGGGCACGGTGGCTCATGCCTGTAATCCCAGTACTTGGGAGGCCGAGGTGGGCAGATGGCCTGAAGTCAGGTGTTTGAGACCAGTCTGGCCAACATGGTGAAACCCCATCTCTACTAAAAATACAAAAAAAAAAATTAGCCAGCCATCGTGGTGGGTGCCTGTAATCCCAGCTACTCAGGAAGTTGAGGCAGGAGAATTGCTTGAACCAGGGAGGTGGAGGTTGCAGTGAGCCAAGATCGCACCACTGCACTCAAAAAAAAAAAAAAAATGAACTTGAGAAAGCAAGATGGTACCCTCTGAGGCTTTCCCCATACAGTGTACATGTGTCCTCTCCAAGGAAAAATACTCCAAGGACAAAAACAATACAATAGGATTGTTTTTTTGTGAGTATAAACATCTGATTTCTCTGTAGAGAGAGAAACAAAACATTTAGAAATCATCAAAATGTTTTGAGGCCTCTAAGGTACTTTCTGTGACTTCACAAAGACTATTATTGAATTCACTTTAAACAAAGCATTAAAAAATAATAATGTTTGCTCTTTCTCCAAAGGGAGACAAAGATAATTTTTATGGAGGAACCCTTTTCCCCATTGGATTACTAGACTATATCCTCAGTAAAAAAATGAAAAGTGTCCCCACCTGGTTGATGGTTAAACAAATGAAGATTAAGAGAGAACTAAAATGTCTAGAAGCATTTAACACTGTGAAATTCTATGATAGATGCTTGGATATTTGGAGAATGGAAACATTATATAAAATATGTGTATAGGTTGGGCGTGGTGGCTTACACCTGTAATCCCAGCACTTTGAGAGGCTGAGGCAGGAGGATCACTTGAACCCAGGAGTTTGAGACCAGCCTGGGCAGCATAGCAAGACCCCCATATCCACAAAAACTAAAAAAAAAAAAAAAAATAACTGGATGTGGTTGTGCATGCCTGTAGTTCCAGCTCTGTGGGAGGCTGAGGTGGGAGGATCACTTGAGCCTGGAAGGTTGAGGTTGCTGTAAGCAGTGATCACACTACTGTACTTCAGGCTGGGGGACAGTGTGAGACCCTGTCTCGAACAAAAAAAAAAGTTTGCTCAAGAAATATTCAGCAGCCCTCTGTTTCCCAAAGGGAAGAAACTCCTTAGAGCTGTGTTTACTGAGTGTGGTACATGGTACACTTCTCTTAGGATACAGATTTCTGGCTTGTCCCGGAAAACCAGAGTGTGGTGACTGTGGGAGGGCCCCAGGTCATTCTTATGTGCCAACATCTGAAAGCCACCATCTCAGAGACCAAGTCGTCCACTATGTGGCCCCAAGTCATCTTTCCAATTTATCTGAAAGTCTTGCCACAGGGGTCCTCAACTTTGGTGTATATCACAATTACATGGCCTCCACCTCCAGAGATTTGAACTCAGTAATTCTTGGGTAAATCCATGAAATGTGGGTTTTGATTAAATTAAATGATGGATCTGTAGATAATTCTGTTGTACACAGAGTTTGAGAATCACCCTGCTTGCCTAACAGTCAGCAGATATGAGTTCTGCACTCTGGCCTTGGCTCTGCCCCTTGCCTGCCTGGTCCTGGACATATCACTGAACTGCTCAGAGTTGTTCATTCTTTCCTGTATAAGAGCAGCATGGGTGCACCTGCACTGGCTACCTCACAAGTTAGATGATGTATGGAAAACCACTTAGTTAGATGCAGGATGTGATGTATTTTAGGGTGTCCAAGTCACTGAGTATTATCTACAAGTTAGGCACTGTCTTCAGTACCAGAAATGAAATAAGAAGCCTGCATTCGGGAAGTTTATTATGACTCTGAAGGCAGTCAGAAGGTTGCTATTCCCTGGTAATGTTAATCTATTCTTGGTCTTGTAGGTTACGCATGCTGTTGCTGACTGTTGACACATACCATCGGCTAAGAGCAGTGGCTGGCTTTGAAACAGCTCCACCTTCCCTGAATACTCTTTCAGCGTCTCTGACGTCTAGGCCAAGTTTGTGTACTTAGCTCCATGACAGCATCAAGATACAAACAACAAGAACTGATGGATTTCAGTACATCTTCTGGGGCTCCTGCCTGTGGGATACAGCTTGTCTTTGATGTCTTACCCTCTACATCCATGTCTCCTTCCTGTCTGTGCTGTGGACTTCAAACTCCAGCATCAGACATGAAGACAACATCCTGCAGAGATTGCTTTAAGCAGCTCCCACAGTTATAACAACATCATGGCCCTATAGCAAATATCATAAAAATTTTTCCACACCTATATTCACAAACATAAAATCTTTTATTGGTTCTGTTTCTCAGTTGAATCATGACTGATACAATATGAGAAGCAGTATATTATTATTTATAGGTAAGGTGTCATTAATTACAGATGCATGGGTCAGGCATAGTGGCTCATCCCTGTAATCCAAGCACTTTGAGATACCAAGGTAGGAGGATCCCTTGAGGCCAGGAATTTGAGACCAGCCTGGGTAACAAAGTGAGACTCTGTCTCTACGAAAAACAATTTTTTAAGGTGCATATTATAAACCTAGGGAACCACTAAAATATTTTTAAAAGAAGCATAAATGATAAAAAAACAAAAAATGGAGATTAAATGGAATCATTAAAAATAATTCAAAATCAGTTAGAAAAAGAACAAAGAACAAATATAACAAATAGAAACAAGATATGAGATAGTACATTAAAATCCAACTGTATCAGTAGCTGTATTTAATTTAAATGACCTAAACATACCAACTAAAACACAGAGATGATCAAATTAGATAAAAAAGCAAGAATCAACTATAATCTATCTATAATAAATTCACATTAAATATAAAAGTATACAGGTTAAAAGTAAAAGGATGAAAAATATACCATATATGCCATGCAAACAGTTGCTCTATTAGTATTAGATAACAGGAAATTCCAGAACAAAGAATATCTTCAGAAATAAAAAGCCACCACATATAGTGTAAAAGGGCCAATTCATCAAGAAGAAAAAGACTAAACGTGTATGCACCTAACAACAGAGCTTTAAAATGCATAAAGCAAAACTGATAGAACAGAAAGAAAAAATAGACAAACCTACACTTAGAGACTGCAGCATTCCTCTCTCAGTAATAGAACAGATGGACAGAAAATCAGTAAAATATGTAGACTAGAACTACATTGTTAAGCAACTTGACAAATTTGGTATTTATTGAATGCTCTATTCAGCAATAGCAGAATACACATTCTTTTCAAGGGCTCATGGGACATTTACCAAGATACTGGGACATAAAACAAACCTCAACAAATTTAAAAGGGTTGAAATCATATGAAGAATGTTCTGTTACTATAGTGGAATCAAACTGGAAATTAATAGCAGAAAGATGTCTGAAAAATCCTCCAAATATTTGGAAATGAAATGACTCACTTCTGTACAACCCATAGGCAAAAAAGAAAGTCACAAGGGAAATTAAAATATATTTTGAATGAAAATGAAACATCAAATACAAGAATTTGGGAGATGCAGGTAAAGCAGTGCATAGGGGGAAATTTATATCATTAAATGTTTATACTTGACAAGAAGAAAGTCCTCAAGTTAATGGTATAGTTTTACAGTAAAGACCTGGTGGGGGGCGGAGGGGGGGCGGGAAGGAACAAATAAAATACCATAGCAAAGAAAAAGGAATGCAATAATTAAGATCAGAAATGAATGACTTTGAAAAGAGCAACACAATAGAGAAAAATAAAATAAAAAAAACCGAGTTGATTCAGTGTGCCCCTATTACTTTCTAGTTAAACAAAAAGAAAACTTTTGTTTCAATAATTATACTTAAATGTTTATTGGATTTTTGGAGGGTGATTTTTTACGTACTTTAGGATGACAGATAAAAACACAAGCAGTGCCTAAGTAGGTTCATAATTTTAATTTCACTTACCTGTAATTTTACCAATGCTTACTTATCAATGTCTTTAAAGGTACAATTTTATGGAAAATTTTACCTACAGTCTGAACATATTTTCTGGTCTTTAAAATGAAGTTAGTATGCTGTATACCATCAGTATATAAACTTGAAACACTTATAGAACAAACATATCAGAGATCAATAAATCCTTTTGGGTCACTACAAACTACCCCATTGGCAGTGTATATTTATTTTGTCTGTTGAGTAACAAACAGGTAAGTTTTAGAGTTAACAAAAGATTAATAATACAAAACAGAGCTGTCTAGTAATAATCTTCAGAGCTAGAACACCCACATGTATTTATAAAGTCACATTTTTGGGGGATAACCGGAGGTAACCTCAGTGAAAAAAAGTTAATTCTGTTGTAAATTCAGTTCTGATAGTCCCACTTGATGACCTTTTGTCTTAAACAATTTCTAAGTTGGCTCATATCATAACTATGCCAAACCTCTTGAAAAGGCTCATTTTAAGGCTCTCTAACAGCATATTATTAACTGGCGAGTCTTCCAGAAGGCAGACATCCTAAGCTTAACATTAACTCTAGTCCAATGTTTTTGGTTGCCTGCGTATATTTTCTTTGGCGTTAAAAAAAAAAAAGTTGGCCTGGCGCAGTGGCTCACACCTGTAATCCCAACATTTTGGGAGGCTGACGGGGGCAGATCACTTAAGGTCAGGAATTCGAGACCAGCCTGGCCAATATGACAAAACCCCATCTCTATTAAAAATACAAAAATTAGTGGGGGGTGGTGACGTGGGCCTGTAATCCCAGCTACTCTGGAGGCTGAGGCAGAAGAATTGCTTGAACCCAGGAGGCAGAGGTTGCAGTAAGCTGAGATTACGCCACTGCACTCCAGCCTGGCGACAGAGCGAGACTCCGTCTTAAAAAAAAAAAAGTTTTCACTCGATACTCTTCTTCTAGAGCTGGCAATACATTGGCTCAGTTGCAAACATGCTCATTATTCCCTTCATCTTACGTAGCCTTAGAAGAGAGCAGCTAGTGATATGCCATAAAACTGTAGACGTGATAGGTAGGAGCGGATATCACTTAGTCCAAGTCCTCTGGTCTCCAGGTAGGCAAGGTCCTTTGCAGATGCCCTGGTGTTAGCGGTGGTTCCCAGTCTCGGCAATGCATTAGTAACACCTGGGCTGCCTTTATAACGGCCAACCTATTATCCCCAGTGATTGATTTAATTGTTCTTGGGTTAAAATCATCCCTACATTTTTTTTTTTTAGATGGACACTTACTCTGTTGCCCAGGCTGGAGTGCAGTGGCGCGATCTCAGCTCACTGCAACCCCCACGTCCCGGGTTCAAGTGATTCTCCTGTCTCGGCCTCCAGAGCAGGTGGGATTACAGGTGCCTGCCACCACGACCGGCTAATTTTTGTATTTTCAGTAGAGACGGGATTTCACCGTGTTGGCCAGACTCGTCTCAAACTCTGACTTCAGGCAATCCCCTCGCCTCAGCCTCCCAAAGTGCTGGTATTACAGGTGTGAGCCACTGCGCCTGGCCACCCCTACATTTTTTTAAAGCAGCCAAGGGAAATATTATATACCAAGGCTAAGGACCACTGAGCTGAAGTACTAAGTTTTCAGATGAGGAAACCCCAATCTCCTTTCTCACTCATGTGGGTTTACGGTATTAACTACATTTTAAATGTCAGAAGTTTAAAAAGCACAAAATAAATGTTACGAATAGAGTTAAAATAGGGCAGCAGTGATTCTGATTTGTGTTATATATATTGCAAGGTTTCACATCTTAAAAATGTGAACTTTAGTGGATGATTCAAAGCACATGTATTATTCTGTGTAAAGAACACTGTGTGTATTAACTCATCTTCAGTGGGTATTAACTTTGTGCTTTTTTAAAAATGAGGATTTAAAAAACAAAACATTAATGTTCTCTTGCTCATTTTCTGAGTCATGGGAGTAGACGGTATATCATATACTAGTCAGGTTTGCCCAGAAAATAGAAAGCATTCTAAATATTTCAAGCAGAAAGGGATTATATTCGTGGTTATGTGTTTATTGATAGGACTGGAGTGGGAAAGCTAGGGAAGGCTGCCACTCTTGTTCAGGGTGGCCACTGTTACTGTGGTCCAAGAAGCTGCTGCTGCTGCCCAGGAGAGAATATTGCAGGGAATCACAGTGGACTCCAGCTACCTTGCATCAGAACTGCGGAGACAGGCGACACAGGCAATACCCAGAGGCTGCTGAAGACAGCAATTCTGTTCATTGCTGTGGGAGGAGGGAGAATAGTGTTGTGTGTGCTTTTACATCTCAGGCAAGTCTACCTCGTTGACATCGAGAGATGTCAGGTTGCACTGAGAACCCTAGAGGAAGGGAACTCTGGGAAAGGCAGGCACCGGCTCTCTAGACTGTATGACAGGCACAAGCGCACAGATGAGAATGAGAATGAATCCTCATTGTCAAGCAGAATTAAACCAAACTAAAACACATTATAAAGCAAAAAGATGATGAAGAGATGGGCCATTGAACATTTTGTGTGACGTTATCTGGATTCTGTGAAAATGGAACCAATGTTTTCCGATCCACTGAGCTACCTTTGTTAACAGGGATATTCATAACATTTATGTTTTCTTACATTCATATATGTTTTTATAAATGCCATTTATGATCCTGAGTATGTAAAGGAAGATGTTGCCTCTGATACTGGTGTGGCATGTGCAAGACTATTTTTGTGAGTTTCAGTTTGGCGACTGCTTTTGGTGGGAAGAGGTCTTTCAGCAAACAAAATTCACCAGTCCTAAGAGCGCCTTGAATGCTGGAGATAAAAATATTTCTTTGACCATAATAACTCTGCTGTTGGTATTTGCTTCAGATTTGTGGCCTAGCATCTGAGATTAGGTCCAAGCTTTAATAATGATTGGCTGTTCCCCTCGAACCCTGGGGGTTTATTTATCATCATTTTCCACCCATGTGTCAGCTGAAAAAACAAAAAAATTATCGATTAGCAATCCCAACCACTTGTCACTTAAACTGGATAATTTATTACCTAAGTCAAAAAGACACGTATCAGTAGAGATGAGCTACAGTGATTATTAGCTTCATACTGTCCTACCTTGCCTGCATGTCTGCACTTGTGACCTGCTGTTCTCTTTCTTCTGAATGGAGACAAGAAAGGGACCATCAGATGCTGGGGTTCTGCTGGTAGACAGCGAGCAGAGCTATAGTCCCTGACTATGATGGTTGCTTCACTGCTTTAGCTTGTCTCCTGTTACTCTTGCTGCAGCATGGAAGGCTGCAATAATACTATTCGTTTCTAAATGCTTGCCAGTGAAGATGGAGTGCTCAAATCATCTAATGGGTGGATTTAAGACAGCGAGAAGGAGAAGGCTTGTTGCCATTTCCAATTTTGTCTGGTTCTTTAAGATGGCATGAGAGGGAAATAATTAATCTTGGATAGATTTTAGCAAAACGAAACACCCATGTTCCTAATCTTTGGTAAAATACTTTACCAATTTAGGGCCGGGTGCGGTGGCTCACGATTGTAATCCCAGCACTTTGGGAGGCCGAGGTGGGTAGATCACGAGGTCAGGAGATCGAGACCATCCTGGCTAACACAGTGAAACCCCATCTGTACTAAAAATACAAAAAATTAGCTGGGCATGGTGGTGGGCGCCTGTAGTCCCAGCTACTCGGGAGGCTGAGGCAGGAGAATGGCGTGAACCCGGGAGGCGGAGCTTGCAGTGAGCCGAGATTGTGCCACTGCACTCCAGCCTCCGCAACAGAGCGAGACTCCGTCTAAAAACGAACAAACAAACAAACAAACACTTAACCAATTTAGTTTTTCCTTGAGGACTAGGGTTATTTTCCTGATCAGAAAGACAGGACTAAGGTGCCAGCCTGGGAATTTTGAATGACTCATGGAAAGCTGTTACAGGTAGAAAGATGTCAGTGCCAAGTGTTTTAAATAGGCATTTTGGACCATTAGGATGTCATGGTTTGCTTATCATGGCTTTTTTTACATCTGAATACATTCTCATCAGCTATGCTTCATTCGTTATAAAAGGAACTCTAGAATCAAGTGTTGCCATTCTTCTTGGTTTCAGAAGAAAGATAATCTCTTGAGCTCACAGGCTCACAAACACATCTCACTGAAAGTAATTACCTTCACATCAGTTATGAGAAGGCACATGCTGAGTTTGCCTCCCCAATGCCTTTCAAGATTTATGAGTGCCTTATCACTGGATATCATGGGCAACAGATGCACCTTATAACGATGACTTTAAAAAATAAACTATAATTGTTATGCCTTGGCTCCTGGCCAAAGAAACAGGATCTAAGTCTGATTGATGGCACAAGGTAGCTTTCTATCATTTAACAGTAAATGGCTTTGCTCTTTTATTATGTTTTGCTTGAGTAAAAAAAAAAAGATAAATAGAATTAAGAACTTGATGAAAGACAGTCCTGCAGTGATACACATTGAAAGATGCAAAACTAAGAGTCACTGATTAGCTGGTGAACTTGCTAGTGTGGATCATGGAATGACTGTAAGCATCATCTCATGAGCCCATCATGAAGCTGACCTCACAGAGGCAGTGGCACTGCAGGAGACCACCAACAAAGCAGAAATGGCAAAAGAGTTCCCAGAGAAATAACGCCTGCCGGGGTCCCAAGATAGGAACTAGAAAGAAGTCAGAGCTGTGCATTGGTGAAATACAAGTGCTTAATAACCCCCATCCTTACTCATATCTGCATATGCACAGCACTGTGTGAAAAGTAGATGTGACCGATTGCTTGTTATAGACCAGTGTTCACCCTCTTCTGTTTCCTTTGGTCATGGAACCTCTAAGTTTTAAGTAGGCATAGAGCCACCCAGTTAAAGATTGCATTTCCCACATCCTTTATCATTAAGTGCAGGCTTGTGACTAGATTCTGGCAATGGGATATGAACAGAAATGGTGAATGCAGAGCTGCTCCAAGATGGCTGACTAGACGCAGCCAGGAGGAACATCTCCCACTGAGGGTCTGGGACATTGGGAAGACTGGCACGCTTCTAGCAGATCTTCAGAGAGAAGGTATTGAGAGTGGAGGGAGGGAAGACACAGGTGCTGGGCTGAAGGGGGAGGAAGCTGGGAACCCTGCATGGGGCTACTGCACACCAGGACTCCTTCCTGGCTTCCAGTGACTCTTGCGAAAGGGGTGAGTTTAATAGGCAAATTGCTCTCACCATGGGCCTCTGGAATTGCAGCAGGAGGAGACCCCTTGAGCACCGTGGACACTTGAGTTGGCAGGGAGAGCAGCTTGGAGACGTATTAGTGGCAGAACCCCAGACTGTGCAGAGCCCAGAGGGTTTGGTGTGGGAAATTCTGTAGTGGAGCATCACCAGGGATACCCATCCCCCAAGGCTCAGCTTGCTCCCATAGGAAACTTCAGCCCTGTGAGATCTGTGGGACCTTAACTCTGCAGGGCAGTCTTGCCCATCAGACTAGGCTGGTCTGAGCTGAGAACCCCATGGTTCTGCTAGCCTTCCCTGGGGCCCATCCTGGCCATGCCTGCTTGCAGTGCAGGCCCCAGGTACCTCCTGGGGGATTGAACCATAGGTCCTGTGCTGGTGGACTACAATTAACTGGCAGAGTGCTCTAGCAGAGTGATCCCTGTGAATACACACCATCTGCAAACTCCCTCAACTGTAGCCTCTCTTGTGTTGCTTTGCCTGCAGGCAGTAGCCCATGGCCAACCCAAACATTGCTTTGCCGGTTTGTGTGTGTGTGGGCAGACCTTGCCTTCCCTTCCCCACCACTGCACCTGTGCACATAAACCTGGCCATGCCACTGCTGTTGGCATTAATGCACTCTGCCCACTCCCACCTCCCCACTGCAACATTGCCATTGTCACTGGAGATTGGTGGGCATGGAGCCTATGAGCCTTCCCTCCACCAGCACCCTGCCCCTGTGCCAACACTGCTGCCAGTGCAAAATTGGACATGGAGAACAGCAAACTCACCCCTGCCCTGAGTGGCACTGCCACCTGTGTGAATGTGCACAGAGGGCAATACAGTCCTGTGTCCACCAGTGCCCTACTGCCATGCTAACACCACCACCAGTGTGGATACACACACAATTATTGGCAGGGGCCTTCTATCCCCAAGCCATGGTGCCACCACTGCTCCACATGGAGGCCAACATCCCAGCAACTGCTAGCACTCTGCCACAGCTGATGAACACAAACTCCACCACACTGCCACTGCCACTGCTGCTGGCACATGCAAATGAGGCTGGATCCCACTGTCACCACCCTATGAAGTGCTTTGGCTGGTATCACTTATTGGAGTGTTGTGACCTGTGGTCTGGGAGCACCTCAGACCCTCAAAAACAGCAGTTTCCCCTTGAGGAGCCAAAGAGCAAAGCCAGGCCTAATCCCAGCCCCCAGAGTTAGAATATGCAGTCCAGGAGTCCTGAGCTGAGCCTTGGCCCTCTAAAATATTCCAGAAATGAAGCCAGTTGACTGAACTCACCTTAAACCACAATCAAACACCAAGGTCATCAAATAGGATAAAAGAAAGAAAACCCATCCAAGGTCAGCAACCTCAAAGACTGAAGGAACATCAGTCCACAAAGATGAGAAAGAACCAGTGCAAAAACTCTGGCAACTCAAAAAGTCAAGGTGTCTTCATTCCACCAAACAACCACACTAGTTTTCAAGTAAAAGTTCTTAACCAGGCTGAGATAGCTGAAATGACAGAAATACGATTCAGGATATGGATATGAATGAAGATCATCAAGATTCAGGAATACAATGAAACCCAATCTAAGGAAGATAAGAATCACACACACAAAAGCTGATACAGGAGCTGACAGACAAAATAGCCAGTATAGAGAAGAAGATGACCAACTTGATAAAGATGAAAAACACACTACAAGAATTTCATAATGCAATCACAAGTATTAATGGCAGAATAGACCAAGCTTAGAAAATAATTGCAGAGCTTAAAGACTGGCTTTCTGAAATAAGACAGTCAGATAAGAATGAAGAAAAAAGAATAAAAAAGAGCAAACAAAACCTCTGGAGAAATATGGGGTGATGTAAATAGACCAAATCTACTACTCATTGGCATCCCTGAAAGAGATGGGGAAAATGGAAGCGACTTGGAAAACATATTCCAGGATATCATCCATGAGAACTTCCTAAACCTAGCTAGAGAGGCCAACATTAAAATTCAGGAAATGCAGAGAACCACTGCAAGATACTTCAAAAGAAGATCATCTCCAAGACACATAATCATCAGATTCTCCAAGGTTGAAATGAAAGAAAAAGTGTTAAAGGCAGCTAGGGAGAAAGGACAGGTCACCTACAAAGGGAAGTCCATGAGATAACAGGGGATCTCTCAAAAGAAACTCTAGAAGCCAGAAGAGATTGGGGGACTATATTCAGCATTCTTAAAGAAAAGAAATTCCAACCAAGAATTTCATATTTGGCCAAACTAAGCTTCATAAACAAAGGAGAACCAAGATCCTTTTCAGACAAGCAAACGATGAGGGAATTTGTTACCACCAGATCTTCCTTACAGAAATTCCTGAAAAAGGCAATAAATACAAAAAGGAAATATCATCACCAGCCACTACAAAAACACACATAAGTACACAGACCAGTGATTTGATAAAGCAACCACACAAAGAAGCCTGCATAAGAACCAGCTAATGACATGACAGAATCAAATTCACACATATCAATGTTAAACTTGAATGTAAATGGGCTAAATGCCCCATTAAGAGATGCAATGTGGCAAGCTGGATAAAGAAGCAAGACTCAATGGTATGCTGTCTTCAAGAGACCCATCTCACATGCAATGACACTTATAGACTCAAAATAGAGGAATGGAGGAAAATCTACCAAGCAAATGGAAAAGAGAAAAAGCAGGAGTAAAAATCCTACTTTCAGGCAAAACAGACTTTAAACCAACAAAGATCAAAAAAGACAAAAAAGGGCATTACATAATGGTAAATGGTTCAATTCAACAAGAAGATCTAACTAACTTAAACATATATGCACCCAACTAAGGAGCATCCATATTCATGAAGCATGTTCTCAGAGATGTTCAAAGAGACTTAGAATACCACACAGTAATAATGGGAGAAGGAAACATTCCACTGACAGTATTAGATCATTGAAGCAGAAAATTAACAAAGATATTCAGGACCTGAACTAACACTGAACCAAATAGACTTGATAGACATACACAAAAGTCTCCACTCAAGAATAATAGAATATACATTCTTATCACCGCATGGCACGTATTCTAAAATTGACCACACAGTTGAACACAAAACACTCCTCAGCAAATGCAAAAGAATCAGAATCATATTAACCAGTCTCTCAGACCACAGTGCATTAAAAATAGAATTCATGACTAAGAAAATTACTCGAAACCATACAATTATATGGCAATTAAGCAACCTGCTCCTGAATGACTTTTGGGTATATAGTAAAATTAAGGAAGAAATCAAGAAGTTCGTTAAAACTAATAAGAACTGAGATACAACATACCAGAATCTCTGGGACACAGCTAAGGCAGTGTTAACAAGGAAATTTATAGCGCTAAACACTTACATCAAAACGTTAGAAAGATCTCAAATTAACAACCTAACATCACAACTAAAATAACTAGAGAAGCAAGAGCAAACCAACCCCAAAACTAGAAGAAGACAAGAAATAACCAAAATCAGAGCTGAACTGAAGAATGGGACACAAAAAAACCATTCAAAAGATCAATGAAGGCAGGAGCTGGTTTTTTGAAAAAGTAAATAAAATAGATAGAGTGCTAGCCAGACTAGTAAAGAAGAAAAGAGAGAGACCCAAACAAACACATTTAGAAACAACAAAGGGGATGTTACCACTGGCCCCACAGAAATACAAATTACCATCAGAGACTACTATGACTGCCTCTGTGCACACAAACTAGAAAATCCAGAACAAATTGATACATTTCTTGACACATACATCCTCCCCAAGACTGAACCAGGAAGAAATTGTATCCCTGAGTAGATCAATAATGAACTTTGAAACTGAGTCAGTAATAAATAACCTACCAACCAAAAACAGCCTGGGACCAGACAGATTCATAGCTGAATTCTGCCAGATATACAGAGAACTGGTATTATTTCTACTGAAACTATTCCAAAAAATTGAGGAGGAGGGACTCCTTTCCAATTCATTCTATGAGGCCAGCATCATGCTGATACTAAAACCTGGCAAAGCCACAACAAAAAAGAAAACTTCAGGCCAGTATTCTTGATGAACTTTGATACAAAAATTATCCACAAAATACTAGCAAACCAATTCCAGCACCACATTAAAAAGCTAATCCACCATAATTGAGTAGGCTTTATCCCTGAGATTCAAGGCTGATTCAACATACACAGATCAATAAATGTGATTCATCACATAAACAGAACTAAAGACAAAAACCATGATTGTCTCAATAGATGTAGAAAGGGCTTTCAAATAAAATTCAATATCCTTTCATGTTAAGAACTCTCAGTAAATTAGGTATTGAAGGAACATACCTCAAAATAATAAGAGCCATCTATGACAAACCCACACAGACAACATCATACTGAATGGGCAAAAGCTGGAAGCATTACCCTTGAAAACTGGTACAAGACAAGCATGCCCTCTCTCACCATTCCTATTCAACATAGTATTGGAAGTCCTGGACAGGGCAATTAGGCAAGATAAAGTAATAAAGGGTATCCAATAGGAAGAGAGGAGGTCAAGCTATCCCTGTTTGCAGATGACATGATTCTGTATCTAGAAAACCCCATAGTTTTTGCCACAAAGCTCCTTAATCTGATAAACAACTTCAGCAATGTTTCAGGATACAAAATCAATGTACAAAAAATCACTAGCATTCTTATAAACCAACAACAGCCACGCTGAGAGCCACTTACACACTGTTGGTGGCAGTGTAAGTTCTTTTAACCAGTGTGGAAAGCAGTGTGGTGATACCTCAAAGGGCTAAAAACAGAACAACCATCTAACCCAGCAATCCCATTCTTGGGTATATACCAAAGTGAATATAATTCATTATATCATAAAGACCCATGCACACATATGTTCTTTGCAGCACTATTCACAATAGCAAAGACATGGAATCAACCTAAATACCCATCAGTGATAGACTGGATAAAGAAAACATGGTACATATGCATCATGGAATACTATGCAACCATAAAAAAGAATGTGATCACATTCTTTGCAGGTACATGGATGGGGCTGGAGGCCATTATCCTTAGCAAAGTAACACAGGAACAGAAAACCAAATCCACATGTTCTCACTTAAAAGTGGGAGCTAAATGATGAGAACACATGGACACATAGTGGGGAACAGACACTGGGTCATACTTGAGGGTGGAGGGTGGGAGGAGGGAGAGAATCAGGAAAAACAGCTATTGGGTACTAGGCTCAGTACCTGAGTGATGAAATAATCTGTACAGCAATACACCATGACATGCCAAACCCTATATACCAAACCTACACATGTACCCCTGAACCTAAAATAAAGTTAAAAGGCCGGGTGTGGTGGCTCACGCCTGTAATCCCAGCACTTTGGGAGGCCCAGGCGGGCGGATCACGAGGTCAGGAGATCAAGACCATCTTGGCTAACACGGTGAAACCCTGTCTCTACTAAAATACAAAAAGAAATTAGCCGGGTATAGTGGCGGGCACCTGTAGTCCCAGCTACTCGGGAGGCTTGAGGCAGGAGAATGGCGTGAACCCGGGAGGCGGAGCTTGCAGTGAGTCGAGATCATACCACTGCACTCCAGCCTGGGTGACAGAGCGAGACTCCGTCTCAAAAAAAAAAAAAAAAAAAAAAGAGATACTGAGGCTTAATGATTTCCTCAGGGCCACATGAATAAAAATTGTCAGAGTTGGGCTTCCACAACAGGCATCTAATTTCACTTACCTCATATGGCATCCCAAGTCAGTCAATACGTATTTGCATCTAGTTGGTGATTCTCACAGGAGTGCATGGCTACTCCTGACTCAAGACTGGTCCTTCTGTAAGTGGAAAGCTTTTCCCCATTTGGAGAGAGTGGCATCTGGAATAAGGGAGGGAGAGCTCACTACCTAAGGCCGACTTAATGCTGCGCTAGGTGTTGCGGGTTTACAAAAGTACAGAGATAAGAAAAATCAACTAAATTTCAATACTTGATTTCCCACATGTGTGTTGGTTCCTTTTCCTTTTGTATATTTTAATTCCACTGTGCTGCTTATTAAATCCACAATTCTGTATGTATCTTGAGTTTAGAGGGAACGTTTTATTCATTGCGCAGTGTCTGAAACATAGTACAAGCATAGTAACTTCATTACATTTTTAAAAGTTATAATCCAAATCTATATGAACCACAACAATCCCATTGATATTTTGATGAATTATATAATTAGAATTTATTGTTGGGATAGCCATTTCTTCTTCCAGTGCAAATAATACTAAAAAGAAAAATCATGTGCATATTATTAATTACAATTTCACGTGAATTAAGAATTCTTCTTTATTATTTATGTAGCCATTTTTTACCCTACAGGAATGACAATAATCCTTTCCCATTATTGATAACATAATAATAATAATACTGTTATGCTTATTTTTTCTGTTTTTCCTCTAGACTCAGTAATCCTATTAACTCAAGTCATTTGATTTAATGGAGTAAGTTAATTCATATTTTGACTGTGAGTTTCCACTAACAAAGGAAAAAATTCTTGGAAGTCTCTTAAGAAGTCCATTTCTTTGTTAAAAGCAATAATGTAGTTTGTTCACTGCTGTGTGGAGGTGAGACTGTGAGATAGTCTAATAATACAAAAGTCTAGGAAGTGCAGCTTTCTCTTCTACTTTTGAAAATTACCCTGTTTCAGGATGCTTCGTCTCACTACCTTTTGTTTTTGAGCGTATTCAATGTATGACTAATCAGAAGATTAAAGGTATTTTGCCTAAATGCATTTTTCTACAAAACAGGGCAAGAATTAGAAAAGCCTGCAGTAGTGTAAGTAAGCTGACAGAGGTGAAAGCTTTTTTAAATTAAAAAATTTGATAAAATTGCTACTGCTCAGTTATTTATAGAGATTGCAAATATGTAAATTGGTTGAGTGAGAAGATAAATTAAGGGGAAAAACAAGCTAATGGGAAGGACCGACCACTACAAACAGCATTAGCAGTGCCAGTGTTCCAAAGGCGTGCTCTCAGGAAATTTTTCACCTAGAGAAAATATCAATTATGCTCCTACCATTCTGATTATAGACAGAGGTGGTTATTTTATATATTTCTGCTGGATAATACATCTAAAAGCTATGAATTTGAATATAATATATATAATCCTTGTTTTATAAGGATATGAAAAATTATCTTTTATAGAATGCATCAAATCCAAGGAAGAAGATAATGTGGCATATTCAGAAGTCTTTTCATGGCATTTCCCAGAAATCTGAGAACTAAAGTCACTATGAAGACTCTTCTGTAGAAGAGACCACTACAGACATCAGTTTCTACTAAACAGTGAAAAGTCAGAACCATTATATATTAAGTAGAATGGGAATTAAATGGCCGTGTTCACATTTATAATGCATTTGAAAAGCGAGACTAGACTACAATGCTTTGTAGTAATAATAGATTCAGTGATTTCACTTGAGACATAGCAAATTAAATCTCAGAAATGTTGCTGAAATTGATTGCAGGGTTCCAACCTCTACTATGAAAAGAGGAAGCCCCGCAGCTCTACTACAATTTGCCTGACAAGGCTGAGGCTCCCAGCTTGAGTGATCAAAAGAAGATAAGTCATTCTGGCCCTAATAAGCATAGCTGCTGTTAACCACGGGAGGAGTTTTAAAGTCTCTCATAGGAAGAGCCTAGTTGTCCAAGCTGTAGTTTCGAGAGAGGCCAAACGCTCATCAGTTCATCTTGTGTGTGTGAATATCAGTTGCAAAGGTTGAAACAGAATTATGCCATATATTCTAAAACAGGTGTCAAATAATATCCTGTGTACTACTTTATCCTAGGCATTTTGGGGAACATCAAAATGCCTAGGATAAAGGCATTTTGGGGGGCCATCAAAAAAGCATTGGCTTATCAAAAATTGGAGGAGACAGTGTTATAAGAAGCACCTGAGACAGTAAGTGTAAATCGTGTGGCCCTGACCGTAAATAGAATGGGAGCCTGCAGCATGGACTGGCATGATCAGAGGTTTGGAGCTGGAACCATAAAAAGCCCCTATTAGGTCCTGCCTTCCACCCACCACACCATCCAGGCCAACAGATGCTCACTGTCCACAGGCTTAACTGATGATTCCTGTCACCTGATTTTCCAGGGTGAGCAGGGTCACTGAAGTATCTCAGGTGAATATCCCCTACAGGACTAGAGGAGGGTGACTTTGGAGTAGACTGTGTGGGACAAGAGAAATAGGTGGTGAAATCTGTGGGGACATCAGTGGGAGTCTTTGGTCTGTGGTCTAATAAGTAAACCTGAGATCGAGGTCAGGATCTGAAATACCTGGGTCTACCTCATGGATTTGTATATTGCATCTGCATCATGTCCAGCATTGGATATGATCATATCTCCTGTAGGTTACATTTCACAAAGGTTTGTTAGTTCTGTGTAGGCAAATATAAAGAGGTATACGTGTATGTATAAGCATTTAAAATTCTGTCCCTCCTGGCCAACATGGTGAAACCGAATCTGTACTAAAAATACAAAAATTAGCTGGGCATGTTGGTGCATGCTTGTAATCCCAGCTACTTGGGAGGCTGAGGCGGAGAATCACTTGAACCTGGGAGGTGGAGGTTGCAGTGAGCCGAGATCACGCCACAGCACTCCAACTTGGGCGACAGGGAGAGACTCCATCTCAAAACAAACAAACAAAGAAACAAAATTCTGTGAGGTGTCTTTTGTAGCAACTGGAATGAAACTAGAGTTCATTATCTTAAGTGAAACAAGCCAGGGGAAGAAAGTCAAATATCACATGTTCTCACCCATAAATGGGAGCTAAATAACCTGTATAGATGGATGTAGAGAGTGGGATGACAGACAATGGAGGCTTGGAATGCTGAGGGTGGAATGAGAGGAGTGGATGATGAGAAATTAGTTGATGGGTACAATGTACGTTATTTTGGTTGATGGATACCCTAAAAGCCCTGACTTGACCACTACACAATCTATGCAGGTAACAAAATTGCAGATGTGCCCCATAAATTTGTACAACAAATAAAAAAAAATCTGTGAGAATTTGAAAGTAGCCTATGATCATTTCCAAGGAGCAGAAACAACTACACGATGCTGTGGAAGGACTAATACATTTGTTCAAAAACAAAAGCATCTAGTCAGTCATTAATTCTAGATGGCCCATGAATGCATAAATTGTGCAAAGATCTACATAGATAATCAAGGCAACCAGGTTCTACACAAGGTGAAAAGGTTCTGAAAGGACGAGAAGCCTTCTAGGCCACCAGTTGGTCACCTTGCCACCACAACAATGGCCCATTTGATAGGAGACAATGCCATAGAGGGGAGAAAAGAACAGAAGATTGAGAGGAGAAAGGACGCAGGTTTTGTTGCTGTTGTTTTTGTTGTTAATGTTTCCTCTTGCTTCCATGTACTGCTTGTCTTTTACAATCAGTTTATAACTTCAGGGCCCTGGGACTGTTTTTATTGAAACATGACTTAGAAACTGTAAAGCTGTTTTAGGCATTGCTGGGAACCGCTGAAATAGATAAGAAATTGTTATACTCGGCAAAGTTGAAAACAAATAACTATCAGCAAGCTGCCCAACTCTACCAAACTCACAGTGATACTAAATCAATAGAAAGATGCTGATTTATGAGCAGTGAAGTCATTCTCTTCGGAGACCCTGAAGTATATGGACATTGCAGTCTTCAAGCATAACCCCCTCCCAAATTCTATGCTATTTAAAAAACTTTTTAAGAGACTACCATGCTACAGTTCAAATCTGAGCAATTAAATCAAATTGTGCATTTTTACCTTAGAATCAATGGAAATCTGTTGTGTATACTGGAAATAAAGGAAACTTGTGGGGAAGATTATAGCACCTCTCTAGTCACAGCAGTCCATCAAAATACCTCTGTTTAATCAGGCCATGATGACAAGCAAAATTTAATTGAATAAATTTGAATGAAAATCACTGTGGTAGACAAAATAATGGCCCCCAAAAGATGCCCATGCCCTTAAGCCCTGGGATCTATGAATGTTACCTGACATGGCCAAGGGGAAGTAAGGTTGCAGGTGGAGTAAAGGTAGCTAATCACTAATGTTAAAATAGGTCAATGAGCTTGGTTACCCAGGTGCATCCAATGTAATCACTAGGGTCCTGAAAAGTGGAAGAGTCAGGGGGAGTTGACGTTAGAAAGACTCAGTTGGCCATTGCTGGCTTTGAAGATGGCAGAGGGCCATGAGCCATGGAAATGTGAGCAGCTTCTAGAATCTGGAAAAGTCAGGAAGACAACATTCTCCCCTGGAGTCTCCAGAAAGAAATGCAGCTCCTCCAACACTTTCATTGCAGCCTGGTGATACCTACTTTGGTCTGATAACTTGCAGAATGTAAGATAATACATTTTTGTTTAACGCATTAAGTTTGTGGTAGTTTATCAGCAGGAGTAGGAAACTAATACAACCACTAAGAGAAAATTTTTCTTAGTGTAGGAAAATTAGAATAGAGGTTATTCTCAGGAATTGCAACCTGAGCTCTTAATCTTTCTGACATTTTATACATATGAATAGAACTTTAAACCTAGCTAATGTGTATTTTAAGAATGAATAATTGATGCACCATTATTAGCACATATCTATATTT
The DNA here is from genome assembly GCF_000001405.40 of Homo sapiens. Lineage (NCBI taxonomy): Eukaryota > Metazoa > Chordata > Mammalia > Primates > Hominidae > Homo > Homo sapiens. Next base: position 38,889,303 of record NC_000009.12, read on the forward strand.
TCTCCTATTTGAGAACAGATTTTCAAAAAGCAATATGATGATTCACATGGCACACTATGTGTGGATTTATTGACTATCCCTGTAGAACAGCACTCTAATACATCACTAAAACACAGAAAACTTATAATACAAGCAAACATTATAGCAGTATGAGAGAAATGGCTTTCTGTCACACTTAGCCTAGTCTCAGATTAGATAAAAGAGGAAAACAATAATTATTCCAAATTCAAATTGTGCCAGGATGTATCTGTAGCATATGTCCTTGAAAACAGCAAAGGGTATATAATTTGATATTAGGAAACAGGACAAGCTCTGGAATTCTCAAGAATGAAATGGAAATTGTAACTCCTACGGCACTTGATGGCCGCAAGGACCTAATTGTATATGCGTATGTATTGTACATATACAATTGTATATGTAAATAGCCTCACGCTGTGGTACATGGTAGGTGCTCACTAATTAATAGATACCAGTATTAAAAGTCAATTTCTTCTCTCCTCTTAATGGTTCTAGAGTATGGTAAATTGTAGCTGGACAGCCTTGGGTTTGGCTAGAGTAGAAAGTTACCTTCATGGTGTCTAATATTTTCTCTTCCATTCCAAATTATTGTAGTGTGTGTGTGTGTGTGTGTGTGTGTGTTTGTGTGTGATTTTGTTTTTGTTGTTTTTTCTTATTTTGTTTTACCAAGGTAGCAAAACAGTAGACATGCCACTCTTGCCTGTACCTCAGGGCCTTTGTACTTGGTGTTTCTTCAGCTGGGAATACTTTCCCTCCAGATTTCACATGATGACCTGTCTGTCACTTTATTTGGATTTCTGTCCCCACTTAATACTGTCTGATGTTATTTTTTAAATTTGGCTTCTCCAGAGAAAATGAACCAATAAGGATGTGTCTGTGTGTGTGTGTGTGTGTGTGTGTGTGTGTGTGTGCATGTGTGTGTAAAATGAGATTTATTACAAGGCATTTGCTCATGAACTCATGAAGGCTAAGTCCCACAATCTGCTGTCTACAAGCTGGAGACCCAGGAAAGCCAGTGGCTTAGTTTAGTCCTAGTCCAAAGGCCTAAAAAATAGGGGTGTGGGATGATAAGTCCCAGTCTGAGGGCAGTGGAAGGACAATGTCTGAGCTTAAGCAATCAGGCAGCGAGAGAATTCAGGCTTCCTCGACCTTTTTGTTCACTTTCAGCCCTGAATGGGTTTGAAGATGTCCGCTCACTATTGGGGAGGCCATCTGCTTTACTCGGTCTACCAATTTAAATACAAATCTCTTTCGGAAACACCCTCACAGACACAGCCAGAAATAATGTTTAACCAGATATCTGAGCATCCTGTGGCCCAGTCAGGTTAATACATAAAATTGTCACAATTTTGTACATATTTATTTATTTATTGCCTGACTCCTTCACTTGAATGGAAACATCATGGATGCAGGGACTTTTGCTTGTTCACTGTTTGATGTCAGCACCTAGGACAGGACCTGGGACTTCGTGCATTCTCAGCAAATGAGATGAAAGAATAAATGTCTAGTCTGATGGGCTTCCCTTTGAGAGCAACCCGACCTTTCAGGCACATATACACCATGGAATACTATGCAGCCATAAAAAATGATGAGTTCATGTCCTTTGTAGGGACATGGATGAAATTGGAAATCATCATTTTCAGTAAACTATCGCAAGAACAAAAAACCAAACACCGCATATTCTCACTCATAGGTGGGAATTGAACAATGAGATCACATGGACACAGGAAGGGGAATATCACACTCTGGGGACTGTTGTGGGGTGGGGGGAGGGGGGAGGGATAGCATCGGGAGATATACCTAATGCTAGATGACGGGTTAGTGGGTGCAGCGCACCAGCATGGCACATGTATACATATGTAACTAACCTGCACAATGTGCACATGTACCCTAAAACTTAAAGTATGATTAAAAAAAAAAAAAGAATAAATGTCGGGGCTAAAGCCTCATTTTCTTTTCTTTCTTTTTTTTTTTTTTGAGACGGAGTCTCTCTCTGTCGCCCAGGCTGGAGTGCAGCGGTGTGATCTCGGCTCACTGCAACCTCCGCCTCCTGGGTTCATGCCATTCTCCTGCTTTGGCCTCCTGAGTAGCTGGGACTACAGGCGCCCGCCACCACACCCAGCTAATTTTTTGTGTTTTTAGTAGAGACAGGGTTTCACCGTGTTAGCCAGGATGGTCTCGATCTTCTGATCTCGTGATCTGCCTGCCTTGGCCTCTCAAAAGAAGTGCTCTTACAATCTATGTTAATTCATCTTGCTTTATCCCATGTTCAGAACTGAACTTTGAGTTGAGGTATGCCTAAAGCATTCTTTCTGAGCATCAGATGACTTGATATGGTTACAGCACAAATTGGCACCAAAGGACACAGCCCAGTAAGTCACAGGCTGTTGCCTTCTAACTCAGTATCATAGTTATGGAGACTTCTGTTGGGGTTTTAGGGTTAATGGAATGGAACAGATGTAGGAGAGTCTATCACCTTTGATAGTATTGCTGGATGAAAGAATGAGGTTGGAATGCTAGGTTGTGATGGTTAATTTTATGTATCAACTTGGCTGGGCCAACGGATGACCAGATAAACTAGTAGGACATTATTTTTGGGTGCATCTATGAGGGTGTTCCTGGAAGATATTAACGTTTAGGTAGACTGAGTCAAGATCACCCTCAGCAATACGTGTGGGCACCATCCAATCTGTTGAGATCCTGAAGAGAACAAAAAGATGGAGGAAGGAAAAATCTGCTCTCTCCCTGAGCTGAGACACCAGCTCCTGCTCTCACCTGCACCTTCTCCTGCCCTCAGACATTGGTGCTACTGGTTCTCCAGCTTCTGACTCAGATGGAGACTTACATCATTGACTCCCCAGGTTATGAGAGTTTTGAGTCTGGACTACAACCAGACCATCAGTTTTCCTGGGCCTGCAGCTTACAGAAAGCAGATGGTGAGACTTCTCAAACTCCATAAGCACGTGAGCCAATTTCTCATAAATATCTTACTATACATCTCTGTTGTCAACCTAAAAAAAGACACTAGAGAAAATTTATTTCTATGGTATATTGAGTTTACTCAGGGGTAAGAATCAATTATTATAACTGGAATGCATGGCATGGTAAACCACTAATGTATCTGTGAGGGAAGGGCAAAGGGAAGCTTTCATTAGCAAAAACAGAGAGTTTTATAGAAGTAGCTTAGAAATAGAATTCATTGGTTCCAGAGAGCTGTTGTCAGTTCACTGGTGGAGATGTCATTACTGGGCGAGTGTTCTGAGATATCTTATCTGAATTACTGCAGTATTAAAGAATATCTAGTGATAAACCTTGTCAAAACAGGAGATGCATGAAGGATGCAAAAAGGTTTCTTGTGGGGTTTTTAGAAAGTCCCTGAAAGCAGTTTTTATCTCCCATATGTGAGCATGAGCCATCTCTCCTTCATACTATCCTGACTTTATTTTATCCAGGTCTGACAAAAGTGATTTTATCCTGGTATCTGAAACTTCTGACTAAAACATAAGACAAATACTTCTTTCTACTTATTCGGCACGTCCTAGTTTTGGGATAGTTGGTCCGAGAAACAGCCTTGGTTTACAGAACAGACCCTTTGAAGGCAGCCAGCTTCGAGAGAGGATGCTGCCTTGCTTGCTGGCTAACAGGGAGGGTGACTAAACATGTATGAGGTGTTTCATTCATAAATCCTTAACTGCACTGAGTCAAGGTATGTCAACAGATGGATGCCAGATCCTTGTTACTGATTAATCAGAGAATTCACTCCTATTGGAGGGAAAGGGATGGCCAGTATTACACTAGGGAAGCGTCCACATGGAAAACAGGAGGACAGGGAAAGAAAGTTTGCTCTAACATCTTCTGAGTCCTTCAAAGTGCTTTTCATCTGTGATTTTTGTTTACTCCTCTTACTAAGAAGAGTAAATATTTAACGTGAGCAGGAAGTCTGAGACCCAGGGCTTTAGTGTCACATACAGTATAGGGCTCAATAGATCCATATATAAGAACAACAATGATCTCTCATGGGGAACCAATGGAAAAGTTAAAGTAACTTGCACCTATTTATGGAAAGCTCACATTAACACTCAAATGCTAATTAGAGAAAAATGTGACCAAAATGTTAACCCGAATCTATTGAAATGAAAAATAATATGTGTTACTTTCATTCCAGATTACTTAGTACATCCATGTGATTTATTTTTGGTAGGAAAGTCTTTTAAATGTCATTATATATAAGATCATTTTCAAACCCCAAATACTTACTAAATTCCATGCTCATTAATACATTTTCTAATAAGCATTCTTAACTCATTAGGATGGAATAACTGTTTTTTCTTAGATTTCAACTGGCATAGAGGACAGAAACCACTGGAACAAAACTAATGGAATTTTTTCTCCAGATCCAGGTTACCACATCTGTACCTCTGTCTTGGAGTTTGAGAAATAATCAGAACATGCTGTTTTCCTATCTCATGGAAACTCCTTTAAGCTGCAGGCTTGGCTATGGGTAGACAAAGGCATAAAGTGTTATGATGGACATTGGAGACTCAGAAGCAGGAAGGGTGGGAGAGGGATGTGGGATTTTAAAAACTACATATTGGGTACAATTAACACTACTCAGGTGACCAGGGCACTAAAATCTCAGACTTCACCCACTATACCATTCATCCATGCAGCCAAAACCCATTTGTACCCCTAAAGCTATTGAAATAATAATAATTTTAAAAAGACACAAGCTTGGGAACAGCATAATGATGGCGTTCCCCCGACCGCCTATAACACCACGACATACATTTTGATCACTTTTTTAAAAAGCATTTTAAACAATGATTAAGTCCTGCTGGGTCAATCTACTAAATAAGGCATCAGTAACAAAAAAATTCACATATAGCTGGAAAGTTTGCTGTGAACCCAATCACTCCAAATTCACAAAATGTTGAGTTTTTGTGGTAAAGCATTGGAGAAGTGTGAAGGCATTTATTTAGACAATAATTTTGTGGATCTTTATCAGGCAATTAGCCTGTATGGGCCTAATTGGGTTCTTAATGGGTTCTTATTTCCAAAGAAAAGTTTAACTTCCAGGTGCATTTCTTGACCTATAACTACCTTTTTACAAATAAAATTATCTCACTATTATGGGATGAGTTTTTTCCTACCCCAAAATTCATTTGTTGAAACCCTTACCTGCAGTACCCTAGACTATGACTGTATTTGGTGATAAGGTCTTTGAAGTGGTAATTAAGTTAAAATGAGGTCATCTGGTGAGCCTTAATCCAACTGGACTGGTGTCCTACTAAGAAAAGATTAGGATACAGACATGCTGAGAGGGAAGCCCGTGTGAAGACACAGGGAGAAGACGGCACCTGCCAGCCAAGGAGAGAGGCCTCAGGAGAAACCATCCTTGCTGAAATCATGGTCTCAGACTTCTGGCCTCCAGAATCATGTGAGAATAAATTCCTGATGTTTAAGTCACTCAGTCTCTGGTAGTTTGTTAAGGCGGCCCAACAGACTAACACAGCTACTTTAATAAAGAAGATTTTCGGCTGGGCACGGTGGCTCAAGACTGTAATCTTTGGGAGGCCGAGGCGGGCGGATCACGAGGTCAGGAGATCAAGACCATCCTGGCTAACACAGTGAAACCCCATCTCTACTAAAAATAGAAAAAATTAGCCAGGTGTGGTGGTGGGTGCCTGTAGTCCCAGCTACTTGGGAGGCTGAGGTAGGAGAATGGCGTGAACCCAGGAGGTGGAGGTTGCAGTGAGCCAAAGTCACGTGACTGCACTCTAGGCTGGGTGACAGAGCAAGACTCTGTCTCAAAAAAAAAAAAAAAAAAAAAAAAAAATTAGCCGGGAATGGTGGTGTGTGCCTGCAATCCCAGCTACTCAGGAGGCTGAGGCAGGGAAATCGCTTGAACCCAGGAAGCAGAGGTTGCAGTAAGCTGTGATCTCACCACTGCACTTCAGTCTGGGCTACAGAGTGAGACTCTGCCTCAACAAAGAAAAGAAAAGAAAAAGAGAAGAAAAGAAAGAAAGAAAGTGTTTCTCCTTGAGGCGTATCACACATGGATTCAGTTCCCCAACTCTTGTTAAGCTGCCACAGGGCTTTGCCTGGGCATGTCCCTGCCTGTTCCTGTCTTCTGCCCTTCTGGGCCCTCCTGCTCTACTTTGGTTATGCAGCTATGAAATTACTCCAAACATTTACATAGTTTGCTACCTGAATGATACATGTGTGAAGGTTGATTGTACAAATTGGGTTATTCTTTTTTTGTCTGTTTGTTTCTAGATGCCCTGAGATCAGTTTCTAGCTTTTTCTTTTTTAAATTTTACTTTAACTTCTGGTATACATGTGCAGAATGTGCAGGTTTCTTATATGTCCCATGGTGGTTTGCTGCACCTACCAACACATCATCTAGGTTTTAAGCCCTGCATGCATTAGATATTTGTCCTAATGCTCTCCCTCCCTTTTTCCCTTACCCCCGGACAGGCCCTGGTGTGTGATGTTCCCCTCCCTGTGTCCATGTGTTCTCATTGTTCAACTCCCACTTATGAGTGAGAGCATGGTTTTCTGTTCCTCTGTTAGTTTGCTGAGAATGATGGCTTCCAGCTTCATCCATGTCCCTGCAAAGCACATGAACCCATTTTTTTATGGCTGCATAGTATTCCATGGTGTATTTGTGCCACATTTTCTTTATCCAGTCTATCATTGATGGGCATTTGGGTTGGTTCCAAGTCTTTGCTATTGTAAATAGTGCTGCAATAAATATACATGTGCATGTGATTCTTATCACATCCAACTAAAACAGAGTTGAGAAGCCAGGAGATAAAGCACTCATGTTACAAAATGTTGCTCCAAGAATGTAATCTCTGCAAGCCTGACTACTGGAACTGCTTTTGAGACCAGTTTTATCCATAGCTTCTGAGATAACTTGCTACAATTCTGTGACTACTTTTTCGCACCACCTTTGCTCATTATTCAGAGCTTGCCAGCTCCCCAAACCCTTCCTAGTGCCAATGAACTTACTCAAAGAGGAATACATAACATTTCTCCTTTTTATAAAACCTCTAACCTTCTCTTCGTTCTTCAGAGAGAGTGTGTTCAGGGTTGGTTCCTTCCAGTGGGTTTGTGGTCTCGCTGACTTCAAGAATGAAGCCATGGACCTTCACGGTGAGTTTTACAGCTATTAAAGGTGGCATGGACCCAAAGAGTGAGCAGCTGCAAGATTTATTGTGAAGAGCGAAAGCCCTGCCCCGTAACCCGAAACGGTCCCTGGACCCTGCTGACCAGAATAGTTGCGCTCACCGAAGCAGCAGCAGAAACACTAGTTTTCCTCCTATACCACAAAGAGGACCGAGAAATGTCAGATTTAGTGGCCCTTACCGATGCATTCTCGAAAACCTGTTAGAATCCTAAGAGTTTTCTCCTGTTAGTATTGGGACTTTACCCCTGTCCTATAAAGATGATATGCCCCCAAAACAGAGTGGAGGGCTATACCCTGAAGGAGGGAAGGAATCTCCCAGGTTGGAAGAGTAACACATTTTGTCCTCACTTATCATATGAATAGGAAGGATATAATTTCTGAGGCTCCCCATATCCTAGCTTCGGGAATCACCTTTGTTAGGCCTGCTAGTCTGAGGAGGGATCCTAAAATCCCAGATAGTCCCCCACCCCACAACAAGACTTTGGGCAAAGATTATATCTTTCTGATTGGTGAGCCTGGGTGCCTAAAGAAAGGAACAGAGTCCCAAAATTTATACTAGAAATCATTCTTATAGGAGAATCTAGAAAAGCACCAGAGACAGGGAGTGGTTTTTAGAAGCAGGACTAGCCTTGGAGAAGAGAGACAGGAGGAAGTTTGTCTGACAGGCGTTAGGACCCAGGAGACAAGGGTCAGGATAGATAGGGTAGATGGGTGAGTCTTGCTTGGGCGACATGCCTTTGAGAGTTCCACTCATGGCTGCAGGGTCAGCCAACTTTTTGTTGGGACCCCGGAGCTGAATGGCTTTCCTCTCTATCGACCCTCAGCTCAGCCCAGAAGTACAGGGAAAGCGGAAGCTGGTTCCAGGCAAACCAATGCTCCCAGCTCTGAACAGTCAGAGATTGTTAGAGAGCCCTTTCCCAGAAAGCCTGACACCTGTGTCTTTAGTCTGGTGGCTGTGCTAGTCGCTTTTAACTGGCCAACAGGTGCCTGGTGTTTAGCCCCCAAATTGTAAGGAAACATAGGACAGAATAGCAAGCAAAAGGGTTCCAGTGGTACTCACCACTTGGCGATAGTCCCTTCGTGGTCTCCAAGATGTGTCCGGAGTTGGTTCCTTCTGGTGGGTTCGTCATTTCGCTGACTTCAAGAATGAAGGTGCGGACCTTCCTGGTGAGTGTTAGTTTTTTTTTTTTTTTTTTTTTTTTTTTTTTTTGAGATGGAGTCTTGCTCTGTTGCCCAAGCTGGAGTGCAGTGGCGTGATCTCGGCTCACTGCAAGCTCTACCTCCCAGGTTCACACCATTCTCCTGCTCAGCCTCCCAAGTAGCTGGGACTACAGGTGCCCACCACCACATCTGGCTAATTTTTTGTATTTTTGGTAGAGATGGGGTTTCACAGTGTTAGCCAGGATGGTCTCAATCTCCTGACGTCGTGATCCGCCTGCCTCAGCCTCCCAAAGTGGTGGGATTACAGGCATGAGCCACTGTGCCCAGCCTAGTGTTACAGCTCTTAAAGATGGCACGGACCCAAAGAATGAGCAGCAGCAAGATTTACTGTGAAAAGCGAAAGACCAAAGCTTCCACAGTGTGGATGGGGACCTAATCAGGTTGCCACTGCTGGCTAGGGTGACCAGCTTTTATTCTCTTATTTGTCCCTGCCCATGTCCTGTTGATTGGCCCATTTTACAGAGCACTGATTGGTCCATTTTACAGAGCACAGATTGGTCCATTTTATAGTGTGCTGATTGGTCCATTTTAGACACCTCTAGCTAGCCACAGAGCGCTGATTGGTGCGTTTTACAATCCTAGCTACAGAGCACTGATTGGTGCGTTTTACAATCCTCTTGTAAGACAGAAAAGTTCTCCAAGTCCCCACGCAACCCAGGAAGTCCAGCTGGCTTCACCTCTCAAGAGCTCTGTTGGTTCTCACCAGAGATGATCTCTCCCTGGTTTGCAAACTGATATTGCTGATAAAACTCTTTTTTCTACTCTCAAGCCATTCTGGTGGTCCTTTGGACAACATATGCCTTGCTTTAGTAAGGACTGGGAGTGTATTTTCCCCTCCCTTGGAGAACAAGGTGTCTTATCAGACCCCATACATGAGAACTTGGAGCTACTTCTCCTCCCCTCGGGAATGTGACATCACAGCTTATCAGACCCGGTATGAGTTACTGAGCTTGACTACTGGACTTCAAGTCTAATAAACCTAAGAGTTTGACAGACACTTTAAGAGCTTAGGTCATGGCAGGGTTTCCTCTGTCAGCCATTCTCCAATGACCAGGAGCTTGTGCTGTGACAGGGCTGCACTGTCCACCACTTCTCCCCAACTTCCCTCTAGTATCCAGGGACCACCCCAGCCTTCTCTAGTCTCCACTGTGATGGCCAACCCAGTTTCCCTCAAGAACTGCTAGTATAAAGGAACACCTCCAGCTTTAATTAGAAGTTACTTCCCACAGAGACTTTCATCCTAATGGAGCAACTAGACTTTAATAATTGAGGACCTCACTCATCTGTGGTCAGTGTGCCTCATCTCTCGAGTGGATTCCCTGGGAGATTTGTTCACACTGTTATCTTCTTTTAGTGTTCTGAACCTAAGAAAAAAATTCTCTTTGCATGTGGATAAACCACAGATCCATGAAATCATACTTCGACCATCTCCTTGTTTTAACCATGCAAAAACACCTTTGTGGTTCCTTCCTCTACTGGCTTAACCCTTGGCTTTCTTCTGTTTTTCAACAAGTGGAGGCTCAGAAGCCCCCAAGCAGGTTTACCAAGGTGCCCATGGGCCACCACATGCCCAGCCTCACTGTGCCCTGCCCCACGGCTGCGCCTCCTCTGCTTCGCCCAGCACCTGGAACATCCCTCCTTCTGAACAGCACCAAGTATGCGTCTGTGCTGCTGCCCCGCCCGCTGCCCCTAAGGGCTCCTATAAGGCACGTGCATCCCTCTGCCCTGGCGCTAGGCACTGCCTTGCATCAAACCCCATATTGTTTTCTCTCCCTCTAGAGAGTTAGCTTTCAGGGAGGACAGAAGGATGCAAAGGTAAAAATATTGTTGTTTGCTGTGAAGTTTACAAAAAACACAATTGTACCAAAACAGAGACAAAAAGGTGGGCTGGATTGTTTTCCAAGGATGCTTTCATTTTTAACGCCAGTGTTTCACTCTTAAATGCACTGCTAGTTTATCACAGTTCAACATACACTTTATAAAACTGGTTTTTTGTCATTGAACTTTTTTTGAAAAATGTATGATGACCACAGATGTCCTTTTGCTGGAGGCTCTCTCTAGGGTCTTACTTCATGTTTCTTTGTAGATAATGATAGTACAGTATGGTTATTTCTCATGGGTTGTGAGGAGACTAAATGATTAAATATATGTAAAGTGCCTGGGACAAAATTTGACACCTTCGTGCCCTAAATAAAAGCTTATTAAATAAATACATAGATTTGGAATTATTGGCTGGATTATATGTAATTATTCCTGACCCAGAATGTCTTAAGAAATATAGTCTCTGGACCTATCTTTAGCAATCACTGCCACTCACCACTCATCCCCTTTGCCCGCCTCATTTTAGTTACTAATGGGTGCAGCTGGGTTTGGGGATCAGGGAAGACAGTTGACATGGACTCGTACCAATACCTGGACTCTTTACACACCAAATCCTGGGGGCCAGGCACTGTTCTAGGTGCCAGACATTTAATTCACATCACAGACGTGCCATGTAAGTACAACTATTTTCCCTACTTTGCGACAAGGAAATTTAGACCCAGGCAGGTTAAATAACTTTCCCAAGTTATTCCCCTACCACCGCCCACCCCTAACCAACCCCAGCTCAAACCTAGGCTGTCAGGGTTTGTGTTATTAACTATGTGCTAGAATCCAAGAAACCCAGGGCTCCTGCTTGTGTCAACAGCCTGGGAGCACAGTGACATGAGCTCGGAACCAGGAATCATCATCAAGTCTGTGTTCCCTTTTCCCAGGCATCCGACACATGGTCAGTTGGGCCAGAGATGGGAGAGGAACTTCTAGAGTCACTTAGCAGAACGGAGGCTGGAGACAGGTTGGCCCTGACATCACAGGGGCTGTTCTCTCCTACTCGTGCCTCCCTCCTGGGAAAATTGTGGGGGACAGTCATGGTGACAGTACCTGGGACCTGAGTCAAGCATCCTATGTGGAGGTCTGAGTTTCCTTTGACAGAGTGTCCTGGCATCCTTCGTCTGTGATCACTGGGACACAGTCCCACTATTTTTTCCCATGGATACTGCTGCTGTGCAAACTCCATGTATAGGGTGTCACAAAGCTTACTCTGTTGTAAATACAGCTGGGTGATAGAGAATTTCATTAGTTTGTTTCTAAAGAAATACTAGAAAACAGATTGAATTAGAAAAAATTGGAAGTGGAAAGAGGATTTTTCTAGAGTTGACATTTTTACAGGAATCTAAGCATTGGTATCTAGGGGGGAGAAAGCCCAGAGTAATAATTTATTTAACTGTTGCAAATTGGAATGATGCTAATTAGATTTCATGTGTTGCTCATGATGTTTATTGCTGAAACATCCATTACCCTGCTGATTCTGGCAGTGAAATAAACATTAGAATTTTTCAACAGCTGTAGTGTAAAATTTTAGAAATTGGACTATGAGTAGCACAATTGGGGTTTACTGTTTTGGATTACCAAAGTGTTTAGCCTTTGCCGTTCAGGGTGATTGTGTGGAAGCGGACACTGCGTGGGTGGAAGTCAAGGCAGACGCTTCCCTGTGGCGCTGGAACAAGGCGGCTGCTCTGCAGGGGGCTGTGAGCATCCCTCCTCGTGAAGCCATGGGTGGCTATTAGGTAATGCAGCAGCTGTTGCAAAAAAGAGCCAGGGTGTCCTGGTGACTGCCGCACCTTGCCCCTTGTAGGAAATGCTGCTGCCTCTGAGCAGGGCTCAGGGGCTGTGAGCAGTGATCGGCAGCAGTGGGGCTGTGCGGCCTGAGCTCCTGATTCCTCGGACCCACGTGCACACCTGGAGAACGGCGCACGCTTCACCTCCTGAGCACCAAGGCCCCTCCTTCGTGAGACTTACCCCATTCGTGTGAGCCCCGGGAAGAAGGAGGCATTTTCAGATGTTTTTAGAGAGAGGGCTCCTGGAGCGCTAATCAGAGCCGTCTATGTTTGAGGATGTTGTTACGGATGCACTCATTTTTCAGGATGAAAGTCCACGCTTTGCTCACACAGCAGTCCCTGATGGTTCTCCCTCTGTTCAGGGCCTTCATTACCATGTCTGGCACGACCTTGATGCAAATGAAACATTTCCAAGAACAAGGAGCTATAACAGAAACTCAGATGTTGCATTTATAATGATTCCCACTTCGGCTTTTTGACTTTAGAGTGCAAGGAAAAATGTGCAATTTCTTACTTGGGCAAAAACAAAACAAAATAAACAACTAATGCAAATCCATACCAGAGTCTGTTACTGTGAGGTAGAGGGCTCTTAAAGGAAACAATCTAACTCTAAAACTGGAACAAACCAGAGCAGCTGCCCTGAAGAATCAAGGTGGTTTCCACCCAAGCTCCACCTGACGCTTGTGAATGGAGAAGCCAACACCCCTGAGCACAGACCTGCTCTCAGGGAGGGATTTTACCTTCATCTGCACAAAGCACCCTGCCCCTGCATAGATCCATGGGGGCTCATTGGCACTAAATAGAAAAATAGATCCCTTCTGCCTCGTTCTGGTTCACACCCATGTAGCCACAGAGCTGGCAAGAAGAATAAAATAAAGTTTTAATCTATTCCATTCTCAATCTTACTGCATTTACATTTATTAATCAACTCCATTACTAAGTATACACTCCAACGTTTGCAAAATTCTGACTACATTATCTACTCTACAATGTCCAGAAGTTAGTTCATTAAAATCTGAATTTAAATTCTATGTCCATTTAGAAACTATTTGTATTGTATTCTTCTGTAATTGGTTAAGCTTCATGAGTATAAACGCAGGAATATGGATTTTTCAATGAACGTTAAATAATCTTGTTGATTAAATTAAAGTCAAAGTAATGTTTGCTTAGAAATTAAAGGATTATATTTCATTAGTATTTAATTTACTTAGTTTTAATTCCTGGCTTGTCATGAAGATGGCAAAAGCTGATGTGTTCCCTTGTTTCCTATACTATACTATGGAACATGGAATATGTGTGTGTGGGGGGGTGTTTGTGTGTGTGTGCACACAAACACAAGATACGTATACACATTTAAGTTTAAAAACAATTCCCTTGGATAAATACTAGGTATTCAAAGAAAACTCATTTAAAGTTTAGGCAAATCTAAGTGTACTGGATTTTTATTGCGCTTTGCTGAGTATAGTCTAGCTGTTGACTGTATACTGTTTTGTTGTGTCTGCAACAGTTTCATTTGCATGCACTTCAGTAGTTAGTTTCCTAGACAAGTAATCTCCAGATAAGTGCATCACGACCCCTCTCTCCAAAAACATCTGAAAATGCCTCATTCTTCACAGAGCCTACTAATTGTCACTTTAAATTGGAGAAGGGGGCTGAACATTGATTACACTATGGTGAGAAGGGTCAGGTCTGCCAAATGTGGGTCTCAAGGAAGTAACCTGCACATTTTCAAAAACAGCCTTCAGGAATGGCAGGCTTTGCGTGCTGGTGCACTGAATACATGGCTGGGTCCCTAAGCTGAAAGTGCCGAGGCTGCCTGGGTGGAACGCTCAGCTCTGCCACTTCTGAGTTCAGAAAATTAGGCAAATTATTTCATCTCACTTGGCTTCAGTTTTGTCATTTTAAAATTCTGAATAATGACAGCAGAACCCAATTTCTAGATTTAAAAGGCATAATTTATATAAGGTGCTATGAAATGAGTCAGCCCATAATCAGAGTTGGCTAGTTCTAACACTTACTACAATTATTACATCAACTCTCTTTCTGTGTGGTCCTGAGAGGTCACTTGTCCTGGGAGTGTGAGTTTCTTCATCTGTAGAACAGGGAGGTTGATTAGCCAATCTTAGGATTTTATGATCCTCTTCCTGTTAGACAATTGTCTGGAAATAGGGTCCTGTCCCTCCTCCTCCACACTCTCCCATGCTGTGTGCAGGCAGATGTGACCCCTAGCTGCATGAGGGCAAGCCTGGCCCCATGGCAGCATTATCCGCTTTGCCGGGGAAAGGAGGACATCACAGATGATCCCAAGCTGTGTCCTGAAGAAACACAAAACTAAAGATTTTGCATGTGCATCCAGGAGGAAGTTTCACACTGGAATCAATTCCTTGTTCCTGAGATTCCCTTCCTCATGCATCTTTTTCTGTGGGGGTAGATGATATGGTTTGGCTTCGTCCCACCCAAATCTTATTTTGAATTCCCACATGTTGCGGGAGGCACACAGTGGGAGGTAATTGAATCATGGGGGCAGGTCTTTCCCATGCTGTTCTTGTGATTGTGAAAAAGTTTCATGAGATCTGATGACTTTATAAGGAGGATTTTCCCTCCATAAACTCTCTCTCTCTCTGCCTGCTGCCATCCATGTAAGACATGACTTGCTCCTCCTTGCCTTCCACCCTGATTGTAAGGCCTCCTCAGCCACTTGTAACTATAAGTCCATTAAACCTCTTTCTTTTGTAAATTGCCCAGTCTCAGGTATGTCTTTATTAGCAGTGTGAAAATGGACTAATACAGTAGAGAATTAGTGAGAAACTCAACTGAGAAAAAAAAACCTACAGAGAAGCAGAATCCAGAGTTATTCACACAAGGCCCAGGACATGGGGCATGTGTGGCATTCTCCTGGCTGCTCTTGCTCATAGGTAGAGGTGGATGGAAACTCCACGCACATCACCCACCCCATCTCCTGCCACCTGTCCCTAAAGCCTCCCTTGCCCTCTCCCTCCCCGCCCCTCCCCATATGCAGTGCTTTCCCAGGCTCTCCGGCAGCCCTGCTCACTTCCTCAGTGGCTGGTCTGCCAGTCATCAGCTGAGAGCAGACCCTCCATTCACCTGGTTTCCTGTACTATGCTGTACCATGGAACATGCAATATATGTGTGTGTGTGTGTTTGTGTGTGTGTATGCACAAATATCAGATACCCCACACAGTTCAATTTAAAGAAGATTATTTCTTTTGATAAATACTACACATTAAAAGAAAACTCATATAAAGGGTATTCAAATTTAGGTTCACTAGATTAATTGTTATTTACCAGGTTAATTAGCTATTATAGCCTGGAACCACACAAAGGGGTCAGCATCCTGCTCCCCAACCTTCCAAGCAGGTGTGAAGGGATCCGTGGGGAGATTCCTGCCAGGTTTCCTAACTGGTGAGGTGGGGGTGGGGCGAGGGGCAGAGAACGGCTTCCCAACAGACAGCCAGGCACCTGGGGGACCGCCAGGTGGGAGTCTGTGCTCACAAAGAAGACATTCCAGGTTGGCCTCAGCAACACTCATAGCTCCCTCCCCGCAGCCTGCACACCCTCGCTCAGGACACCTGGATGTTGTAGGATTCTCTCACCAGCCACCAGCCAGGGCCTTTGTAGCTGCTTCGGGTGCTCCCGAAGCACCTACACGCTCCCACCCTGCTACAGACGCCTGCGGTTAGAAAGCCCTGGGCATCTGTTCAGCAGAGGGTCCTGCCAGGCTCCCCTCATTCAGAGGGGACAGAATTCTCCTCCTGACAGACTTTCTTTTTTTTTCCTTTTTGGGAGGGAGTCTCCCTCTGTCTCCCAGGCTGGAGTGCAGTGGCGCGATCTCGGCTCACTGCAAGCTCCGCCTCCCGGGTTCAGGCCATTCTCCTGCCTCAGCCTCCTGAGTAGCTGGGACTACAGGTGCCCGCCACCACGCCCGGCTAATTTTTTGTAATTTTTAGTAGAGACGGGGTTTCACCATGTTAGCCAGGATGGTCTCGATCTCCTGATCTCGTGATCCGCTCGCCTCGGCCTCCCAAAGTGCTGGGATTACAGGTGTGAGCCACCGTGCCCAGCCGACAGATTTTGTTTCTATCATCATGTGGGGAGCGAACATGGATCTCTTCCTGCCTGAAGTGGGCACGACGATATTGACCCTTTGTGGGATTCCAGGCCTTTCAGCGACTCCTGAACCCAGAGGAAGGAAGCCAGGGAAAGGAATGCTATGGGGAGAGGGTGGAGAAGGCAGAGAGCAAAGGCAGGCTGTAGGGACAGGTGGTCAGGTGAAAGCCCAAACCATGCAGCGGTGAGTGGACGTTAGGGACTAGAAATAGTGCTCTCAGGGTTCACTGTGCCATGGGGAGGTGTGTATTTCACCATACCCTGTGCCCGAGAGGCTACAGAGCGGGTCCGTTCAGCTGTCCTTGTACCCACATGGGACCCCCACCACTGCAACACCAGAGGCCCGGGGCCTGCCCTCCTTGTTTGGAGGTTCTCATTTCCCCAGGATCTTGGTGAGTTTTCTTGGGCCACAGTTAATACCCTCAGAACTCTTGTCCTCACCTTCTCTCCAGCAGTTTCGTCGGACTGACAACGGTGAGTGCCTTAGGATGCACCTCAGAACCCCTTCCCCGCGGGAGGATCTGAGCGCCTCCAGCCTTCGCTCACTGCCTCTATAGCCCTGAACTCCACTTTTATCTCCCCAGACCTAGGAAACTGTCAACAGTTTCTAAGCATTCTGCTCGGTCTCTCTGACCTTCAATACTGAACAAGCAGCAAATACGTGCAGGGAGAACGCTGACCCAATTCAACGCATTTCCCTTCTCCCTGGATTCTTGGCCCTTCCATTCCTGGCCTTTGTGATCACTCTCTGACACCGGCAAGTAGCTGCTTTTTGTTTTTTATCTGGCATTTATATTTATTTTTCGTGGTGGTGGTGAGGGGGCTTCTTGGTGCGATAAAGATGTTTCTGACCTCTGAAAACTGCACAAGAATGTGAAGAGCTGCGGGTCTAACTTCTCACCAAGCAGCTGCAGGACTCCTGTTATCTCTAATAGGGGACGTTTGACACTCACAGGAAGAATTAACTCATTCTTACAGACCGAGCCTGATTTTTTAAAAATCAGTTTTTAGGCCGGGCATGGTGGCTCACGCCTGTAATCCCAGCACTTTGGGAGGCCGAGGCGAGCGAATCACGAGGTCAGGAAATCGAGACCATCCTGGCTAACACGATGAAATCCCGTCTCTACTAAAAATACCAAAAAAATTAGCCAGGCGTGGTGGCGGGTGCCTGTAGTCCCAGCTACTTGGGAGGCTGAGGCAGGAGAATGGCGTGAACCCAGGAGGCGGAGCTTGCAGTGAGCTGAGATTGCACCACTGCACTCCAGCCTGGGCGACAGATCCAGACACCGTCTCAAAAAAATAAAATAAAATAAAATAAATAAAAAATAATAATAGTAATAATAATAATAATAATAAATAAAAATCAGTTTTTAAAAAAATCAAAGTAAAATTTACCCAACATAAAATTAACCATTTTAACATGTACAGTTCAGTGGCATTTACTACATTCATGGTGCTGGGCAACCATTACCTCTATTTAGTTCCAAAACATGGTTATCAGCTTACAAGGAAACTCCATACACATAAAGCCATCGCTCCCTTTGCCTCTTCCTCAGCCTTGGGAAACCACTAGCCTGCCCCTTGTCTCTATGCATTTACCTATTCTGCATATTTCATGTAAAGGGGCCATACAGTACCTGGCTTTTTCATAAAACATCATGTTTCTGAGGTTCATCTACATTGTATCAGTACTTCATTCTTTTGTTTTTATTTTTTTTTATTATTATTATTATTATTATTATTTTGGAGACAGAGTCTTACTTTGTTGCCCAGGCTGGAGTGCAGTGGCGTGATCTCAGCTCACTGCAACTTCCACCTCCCAGGTTCAAGCGATCCTCCTGCCTCAGCCTCCCTAGTAGCTGGGAATACAGGTACACACCACTGCGCCCAGCTAATTTTTTTTTGTATTTTTGGTACAGACGACGTATGGCCATGTTGGCCTGGCTGGTCTGGAACGCCTGACCTTAGGTGGTCCAGCCACCTCGGCTTCCCAATGTGCTGGGAATACAGGTGTGAGCCACTGCACCTGGCCCAACACTTCATTCTTTTTAAATGACTGAAGAATATTTCATTTTGCCAATGTACCACACTTTGTTCACTTATTCATCAGTGGATAAGTTTGGGTTGTTTCCACCTTTTGGCTATTGTGAATAGTATAATCAGTATAACTTTTACATCCACATGTATAACGATTATATGTTAGGTGAATGTCAGTCTCTGATACAAACAACTGGAGCTTATTTTCATGCACAACCCATTCTTATTACAAAAGTTCTTGAGAGGGCTGAGCGCGGTGGCTCACACCTGTAATCCCAGCACTTTGGGAGGCTGAGGCAGGCAGATCACTTGAGGTCAGGAGATCGAGACCAGTCTGGCCAACATGATAAAACCCCATTTCTACTAAAAATAGAAAAAATTAGCTAGGCATGGTGGTGGGTGCCTGTAATCCAAACTACTCCAGAGATGGAGGCAGGATAATTGCTTGAACCTAGGAAGCAGCGGTTGCAGTGAGCCAAGATCGTGCCACTGCTCTCCAGCCTGGGTGACAGAGCGAGACTTTGTCTCAAAAAAATAAACAAAACAAACAAAAACAACAAAAAACTACAAAGTTCTGGATGGTGTATCCACATCGCTCAGGGAGGGACAGGACTTTGTCTTCTCTCTGATGCACTCTGGGCCCCAAAAGCAGCAGAGAGGGTGATGCTGGGTCTGAGGCCCAGGTCCAGATCCCACCCTCCCTGCAGCTCATGAAAACAGGGAGTCAGCCATCACACCCTCCAGCCCTGTGTGTGCCTCGTTCCTATGGACATCCTAGAAGCTCAGCCCTGTGACATTGAAGAAAGTCCTCAGACTGCACAGTGGGTTGGTGCTCAGCACCCTTTATTTATCACTGGAGATAGGCAATTACATTTCTGCTTGTGGGAAAAAACGAATGACAGCAGGACTGGGGGCCTACAAATGCTTGAGGAAGTAAACCCTCTCTGTCCACAAAGGCTTCACTGTACTTTTCTAGCCTTTCTATTCAATTCTTCACCTTAGGAATTTGAAAATGTAATAGTCTATCTCATGGTAATTTCTGAAACAGTTGTCTTCATCTTTTAGAGATAAATATGCAGGATCATGATCAAAACATCTCCTGAGGCCTCCTTGGTGCCATGCATTATACTGATGACATGGAATAATCCATTTAATCCTCACCACAGCCCTGTGCGGGAGGTCCTGTTTTGATTCTGATTTACAGGTGAGAACACTGAGGCACTGAAAGACAGACACAGAGGGAGCCGGGCTAGTACGCAGCAGAGCTGGACTTAAACGCAGACTGCCTGGCTCCTGGTTCCCTGCTTGCAACTGTTAGCAGCCATCTGCTCATGTGGCTATCAAAAATGAGTTCTCAAACAATATTTGGCATCCAATTTCCAATCCCCATTTTATAATTTTGCATGAAAAAAATTTATGTTACTATGATGAATTACTGAGATGAAGTTCTGATGCACTTTGTTCATGTTTAATTGCTTTGGAAACTGACTTTTTAAGCACCTGGAAGGAATCAGTGTCAAGTTAGTTTTGAAATGAACAGATACTGCCTCTTCTGATGAATCAGGAATAATCACCAGGTAGGAGTGTAATCTCACTGCAACTTGTTTGAGTGGTTCACGGACTTTACATCCTAATTTGGATCCTAATTTGCATCCTACCTTTAAAGTTCTGGAATGTCAATGGACAGCTGCATGAATAATTTTGTTTACAAATTAAGATGCAAATATTGGAAGAGAGAATAAAGCTATTCTGGAGTATATGTCAGGAGTGGGCACTGTTTTCTCAACTGTAAATTTTCACCACTTTCTTTTTAATTTGCTGTTCGATTTGTTTTACAGTTTTCTTGTCTTTCTTCATAGACTTGATGGGTTAAAATAATAAAATAATAAAAAACATTAGCATCTGAGAAACTAGAATTTTAATTGTGTGATTCTTTAGGATGGTGTCTCAAACAGCTTTTCTTACAGTTTTAAGTTTGGTCTACATAATAGAAGTATTTTAAAACATCAAGCAAGTCATAGTTGTTTTGGCTTACTGCTTATTCAATTAAAAAGAAATAGAAAGACTAACAGTGCTTATTGGTTTCCAAACCACCAACCCCCATTTAAAAAAATATCAATCTTCATATTTCCCTGAGTCAATTTTTTCTTTTAACCATTAGTATGAGCTAATCCTTATTCAGCATAAAACTAGGCATTATGTTAAGAACTTGCATTTCATAGTCACCACAAAATGGCCTAAAATTAGTATTTATTCCATTTTGTAAATGAGCAACCTGAGGTGTAAAAAGATGCAATAACCTGCCCAAGGTCCTTCAGCTAGCGCATTTTAGACCTGGGATTTTACACTGGGTTGCCAGAACTAGAGGCCTAGCGACCTTCCAAGCCCATCTCCTTACCTCCCGGGCCTCAGTTTGGCTATTCCTTGTCTTTAGAACAAATAAGAGCATTCTATAACTAAATAATTAGCAAAACAAGTCTTTTTCTTGGAAAATGCCTTTTAACCTACTATTAATCCACTTGTTAAATTTTTACTACATTCAAGGCAAAGAAGTGTAAAATATAATCCCTGCCCTCAAGGAGCTTACAGGGATTGCAATGAGAAGTTGTAACATAATGGGAAAACTATGTCAAATGGTAGTTCGAACACTGCAACACAGTTCTGATGCTTACCACCTGGAGTTAGCTACAGGTGCCACAGATTTAAGGGACTGACCTTCCTTCAGACACCAGCCATACTTCTGGTGTCCCCAGTCCTCTTGCACTGCTGAACAACTGGCTAGAAATGTGGGCATCACCATGACCCTTTCGAGTTTGATAATTTGCTAGAACAACTCAAAGGACTCAGGAAATACTTATGCTTAGTTTTATTATAAGTAATAAAAATTGGGACCTGCCAAGGAAGAAACACATCTGGCAAAGTCTGGGAGGGTCCACACACAGAGACTCCATGCCCCTCCGTGCGGAATCTGAACCTGTCATCCTCTCAGGATATCCACATGTTTACCAGCCAGGAAGCTTCCCTGAGCTTCGGCGCCCCCAGTTGTTACTGAGACTGTGTCACAAAGGCAGGATTGACTTAATCATTGGCCACATATTTTAACTGAATCTCTAGCCCCACCCCTCAGAGATTGGAGGTCAAACTTAACATCTGGTGTCTCAAAGCCCGACTCTCCAATCACTTGGCTGCTCTTTTTGGCACAGCTTACCTTTTTCTTAAGCACAAATTCAGGTGTGATCCGAGGAGCACATGAATAACAATGACACTCCTATTACTCAGGAATTCCCAAGAGTTTGAGAGTCTTCCAGGGGCCAGGGACAAAGGCCAGTCTAATTCTTCATTACACAACAGGCGACCCTGTGGCTTTTGACTATGGTTCTTTTATATGTCTAAAATGTGGAGGAGCTACTGTAGAGTACGAATAAAAAGCTTTTAACTCAATTTCCCAGTATATTTGACTGTCATTACCAGTATTATAATTTTACCGATTATGCCAGTGTTTGACCATATTTCAATATGGTAAAATAATCTGAAAAATAAGAGTAACAAATATTGACATATTACTAGAATCTCATTCAGTCATTAATAATTAGTACAGCCCATCATCATATGGTGTAACCAAAATGTCTCCCAGGGTGACATCACTCACGTTCGCAGCTTCTGTTCAATTCTCTCAAGTTCCACAAGCAGGAGTGCTTTCAGCAATATATGGCTTCACTCTTTCCAGCATCTGGAATCGCTGAGCTAAGAGACAATATCATCTCTTGCCTTCAGCCCCTCTTAAAGTATTAATATAATATTGAATTTTCCTCATTGTGTAACCCAGACATTCATTGTTATAATCTACTAGTGTTTCTTCTTCTCACCAGTTATGAGTTTCTAAGCTTTTCCACATTTAGAAAGCACATTAGGTTCAGCCATTGTGCTGGTCTAGATTCCTGGCAGCAATACAAGTTTAGCGAGTGCCTTCCACTCAGTGGACTCCCATTCATATAGGATGAGGTACAGAACTAGGGGGCGTGTCAACCACTAAGCAATACATCTGCATTTCCTGTCAACCTCAGTCTTGCCAGATGGGGTAAAGACACAATCTACCCCATCTGGTCCTTAGGAAGCACAGTTACAGCTTTTACTTAGGAATTATCCCTCCTTCTGGTATTTTGCAGCCCTGGGCCCGAGACCACCATAGCAGGTAGGTAAAAGAAATTTGAGGTGATGTGGGGAAGAAAGAAAGCTGTAATCACAACTCCTTTGTAAGAAGAATTGTATACTCATCACAACATTTGCCCTACCTCTTCCTTAGGACCCTCAGAAAAGTGGAGGAATCTATCTAGTGGGACCACCCGCTTGGCGCCCTCATTTTGAATGTGAGCACACACTCAAGAAAACATATAAGGCGGCCCTTCATGCCTATTTTTATCCCTATTTTAGATGACCAAATTTTTTATTTTATTTTATTTTACTTTTTTTTGAGATGGAGTTTTGTTCTTGTTACCCAGGCTGGAGTGCAACGGCACGATCTTGGCTCACTGCAACATCTGCCTCCCAGGTTCAAGCGATTCTCCTGCCTCAGCCTCCGGAGTAGCTGGGATTACAAGCATGTGCCACCACACCTAGCTAATTTTTTTTTTTTTTTTTTTGAGATAGAGTCTCACTCTGTTGCCCAGGCTGAAGTGCAGAGTGGCTCGATCTCGGCTCACTGCAAGCTCCACCTCCCGGGTTCATACCATTCTCCTGCCTCAATGTCCGGAGTAGCTGGGACTTCAGGTGCCCGCCACCACGCCTGGCTAATTTTTTTGTATTTTTGGTAGAGACGGGGTTTCACTGTGTTAGCCAGGATGGTTTCGATCTCTTGACCTCGTGATCCGCCCGCCTCTGCCTCCCAAAATGCTGGGATTACAGGCTTGAGCCACTGTGCCCAGCCCTAATTTTGTATTTTTCGTAGAGACGGGGTTTCTCCATGTTGGTCAGGCTGGTCTCGAACTCCCGACCTCAGGTGATCCGCCTGCTTTGGCCTCCCAAAGTACCAGGATTATAGGCATGAGCCACCGCACCCAGCCGATGACCAATGTTTTAATTGTCCATTTCAATTCTCTATCAAACCATTACTGTTAGGACAAAAGTGTTTCCTGAACTAAGAAAATATGACTTGTTCATTCAAATTGGTGCAGAATAATCTGTTCCGTTGTCTCTGATCATTTGCATCTGTTTCTGGGTAAGCAAAGCCAAGTCTCGAGCAAGTGTCTAGTCCTGTCTATACCCCTTCGTCCACCCCCCAGGACTAATGTCATCCATTCGGCTTACAGGGCCTTCCTCCCAGCTTCTCTGCTCCATAGCCATCTATAGTCTGTGTCTCTCTTGTTAACAAAAAGAAGAATCTTTACGAGCATTTTGTGCCTCAGAAGGTACAAAGGAATAAATGTAATTCAGCCCATCTCTGGGCTGCTGCAGCCTCACAATATTCACTCATTACGTGAACCCAGTGGCCATCTCAAGCGAGCACACCAGGATATCCTCTTGCTGGCTCCAAGTACCTCCTAATCCTAGAAGGGGGGTTTCTGATAGGCATTGGCATGTCCCACTTCAATGCACCCCTCAAATTCCTGTAATCATTTCCACAAGGCAAGCCCTCCATAGGCCAGTTTTCCATTGCCCTCTGCATAACCCCCAGGTGGTCCCAAAGTCCATCCTAGGGGAAAAAGAGTCGCTCTGCCTGTGAACACGCTGGATAAATTTACATTGACCTGTGCTATGATCTGGATGTCCCTTGAAGTTCATATGTTGACATTTAATCCCCATTGTGGTGGTATTAAGAGGTGGGACCTTTTAGAAAGTGGCTAAGTCATGAGAGCTTTGTCCTCAAGAATGGACTAGCATCTTATAAAAGGGCTGGGTGTCTAGGCACAGTGGCTCACACCTGTAATCCCAGCACTTTAGGAGGCCGAGGCGGGCGGATCACAAGGTCAGGGGATGGAGACCAACCTGGCTAACACAGTGAAACCCTGTCTCTACAAAAATACAAAAAAATTAGCCAGGCATGGTGGTGGGTGCCTGTAGTCCCAGCTACTTGGGAGGCTGAGGCAGGAGAATGGTGTGAACCCAGGAGGCGAAGCTTGCAGTGAGCCAAAATCATGTCACTGCACTCCGGCCTGGGCAACAGAGTGAGACTCAAAAACAAAACAGAACAAAAAGGACTGGGGGGATCTAGCTGAGGCCTTTGGTCTTTCACCTTCTGCCATGTGTGGACACCTAGATGCCACCAACTATGAGGAATGGGTCCTCACCAGGCACAAACTCCACTAGCCTTGATCTTAGACTTCCTGGTCCACAGAACTGTGAAAAATCATTTCCACGAGGCAAAGCCGCAAAGGCCCGTTCTGTTCTTTATAAATTACCCAGTCTCAGGTAGTTTGTTATAGCAGCAGAAAGGGACTAAAACACCCTGGTAGCATGTCCCCATAAACAAATTCCATTTGACTACGAAAATTTTCTGTTTATTGTCCTTCCTATTAAAGCCTTTCTTCACTATCACTCAAGCCATGATCATATTTTAGGTTTCAAGATTAATTTGTGTCCTTCAGTTATAGAGTCCATTTCAATTAAAGTCTGATCACAAGCTAGTAATTGCCACTCAAACGGCAAGGGGTTCAGCTATGGGACTCTGGCCCCTCCATAAACTTTATCTTGATTAATCTGCCTGACCATTGTCCAGGTGATTCCAGGCTGGGTTCCTCATTGGAATCTTTGTTTTCTGGCCTTTAAAATTACTCCAAACTGACACAAATAGACTTGTGTAGGGCCCTGTAATGGGGAAACCGGCCAAAGGGGGATCAGCAATGGTTCCTGTTGGTCCCTGCAACCTTCCATAGCACTGCATTCAGACCTTTGTTTCAACACCATTAACGTTTACTTTATTTATTCAATTTGTTAATAGTCATCTAAAGTTTTCCACCCTGCTAAAATGAATCTCTTGATTCTCTTCTCTCTCCATTTTCTTGTTAATTATGTTTTGTTGTTGTTGTGTGTATCTCTAAGACACATAAGGGGAAGCAGAGATAGCAAATCCATAGGGCTCTTTGGACTGTTGCTTGATTTTGCAGCAGTAAAGCTACACTGAGTGATTATACAAAGGGGGCCCCTTAACCATAGCATTAACCATGCCCTGCATAAGGGAAACAAACAGTGGATGAATATCCTGAGCATCATAAAGCCAAGCCAGCATGGCTTGCACACAAAACATACCAGCCCCTTCACCTGGGATGTTCCAATGGGCATTTATAGGGGAAATAGGATAGTCCTCCTCAGGGTAAACAACTTTATACTGTCTTTTATTTAGCCTAGTAGGCTAATTGATCCCTAGGGAATAACCTGCTATGTGTCTGAATCATGTGTGGTGATCTATGATTGTTCCATAGTGAGCTGTGGATCTTGTATCAACCCAAACATGCTTTTCTATTCTGCAGTATTCAAAAACCAAAGAAACTTGACTCTGAATTAATTACTCCTACATTTATTTCAGTAAAGGTTCTTCCATAAACTGTTGATATAACTTCGTCATGCTGCACCCCTGGTTTCAGTAGTTTCTTGATTTTTCCTGTCTTACCTGGACTCTCTTTTCGATGACCAGATGTTTCAGAGCATATTCCAGCATATTTTTTCCCTTCGAGGATGGCTTTGAGACTAGTGGCCATATCTCAGACTGACCAAAATCTGAGGTTGGTGTCAGCACCCTTTTTTTCTCTCAGTTTAGCTATTATAACAAGAACCAAGGGATTATATATTTCACTTTTTCCTTTTTTTTTTTTTTTTTTGCACTTCCCTGTACATCCAATAGATCAACTCTTTAGAAGCTGGTCTATCACTATTTCTGAATTCCATTGGCTGGGTCTATCACTGTTTCTCAATTCCATTGGCTGGGTCTATCACTATTTCCGAATTCCATGGGTGGCTTTTACCTTTAGAAACTGATCACAACGCAGATGCAATTTTATATCGGGGTGACCCTGTGGCCCCCCAGAAATCAAAGTTTCCTCATTGTTGGCCTTTTAATTTAATTCTTCCTCTTTCCAAACCCATTGTTTCAGGGTTGTTCTAGTGAGTCTCACATTTTCTGGCACAAATGGTAAGGAGAAGTAAACATTTCTCTATGGAGAAATCACTATGGGGGCATAAAAGCCAGCTTCCTGGAGAAGTAGCATTTAACCCGGGATTTGCAGCATTCCATCTACATAAATGTGAGGAAAGATCCCTTTAGGTATGAGCTAAAGGGTCAGGACTAGCAGATAAGAAGCATATGTGAAGGCCCGTACAGAGGGATATTTGGCTGTGGGTAGCAGCAGGCAGTAGATGTGACTGGGAGGATGTCAGGGGAAGGGGAGCACGTGGAAGATGACATTGAATAACATTGAAAAGAAATACATTTTAAAATTTACTCAAGGGAACATGGTATTAAATCAAGTTTCATCTAAAGCTGCCTCCTTACATATTTAAGTTTGGCCTAAAGGTTTTTCTGTACATTGTGAACTGTAACAAGTGAAGTGTAAGCAGAATGTAGCCTACCCTAGTGCCAATCACCGAGTTTTGGCCAATCAAATGTAGCCAACTGTTCGAGCCATGTTCAAATAAGGTAAATGCCAAGCTGTAACCAATCCAGCTGTTTCTGTGCCTCACTTCCATTTTCTGTACTTCACTTTCCTTTTTCTGTCCATAAATCTTCTTCCAACATGTGGCTGAGCTGGAGTCTGGGAGCCTAGTCTGGCTGGGAAGGCTGCCTAATTTTGAGAATCATTCATTGCTCAATTAAACTCCTTCAAATTTAATTTGGCTGAAGTTTTTCTTTTACTAGTGGGGAGCCATTGAATAATTTTATCTGGGGGAAAGGCATGATAGGAAAATCTCTTTCAAAATAAAATGAGTGCTAGCTCGCTGCTAACCACATGTTTACTGAGGTTCATCACTCTGCACACCTGCTCCTCTGGGTTTCCTCACTACTCTCAGAATTCCAGCCCTTACCCGACATGCTGGGGCCACCAACTTACTCGTTTGCCTGTTCTCTTCGACACTGAGGTCATCAAATACTATGTAAGATTCAAGCTTTGTAACCTCAATGCTTCTACCCATTTTGATACTAGATATATATTTATCACATGATTATATTAAATATAGACCAAGACCCTAAAACATTCCTAACCCTAAGATACTCCATGTTTGGGTAAATAGCGTCCAAAAATACCACTAGCTGTCCTAAGGTATAGCAGGAGAAAAATACAATGCATCAAAGGGAAAAGCTGTACTGAAGGAGAGAAATAGGAAAGAGGGAAATCAGAAAAATAAAAGATGAAGAGAGACTTTTGCTTAATGTGGATGGGTTACGTCATTGTGGAGGCTAAGGGGTAACAGATATTGTATGGTGGTGTACATGCCATAGGTTGTGCACACATAACCACCCATCATATTTAGACATAGCATCCATCTGGGAGTCTCACCATACGATAGGCTCAGAGTCTGATCCATATTGCAGGAGAGTCGGAACAGCACACAGCAAGACATGAGGAGGAAGACCCATGACCATTTAGTCACCCGTCATTCTTCAAATGGATACAGTACTTCTAAAACACTAACACTCTTTTTATGGTATATCCATGATTGTAAATTAAGGCCAATAATGGCCGGGCGCGGTGGCTCACACCTGTAATCCCAGCACTTTGGGAGGCCAAGGCGGGTGGATCACAAGGTCAGGAGATCAAGACCATCCTGGCTAACACAGTGAAACCCTGTCTCTACTAAAAATACAAAAACAAAATTAGCCGGGCGTGCTGGCGGGTGCCTGTAGTCCCAGCTTCTCACGAGGCTGAGGCGGGAGAATGGCATGAACCCAGGAGAAGGAGCTTGCAGGGAGCTGAGATCGTGCCACTGCACTCCAGCCTGGGCGACAGAGCGAGACTATGTCTCAAATAATAATAATAATAATAATAATAATAATAATTCTTAGCTTATCCCAAATAAATCCTGATTTAACTTAATTGTATCTTTCTTGAAATTCTATTAAGAGTAATAAGACATTCAATGATGTATTAAACGATAATAACAGTTGACATTTATAAAGTGTTAACCACAAATATTGATTCATTTATACACAAAATGATTATTGAGTGCCTAAAGTCACTGGGCTGTGCCCTAAGTAAATAAGAATGAGACAGTGCTGCCTCATGTTCTAGTCTTTCCTCTGCCAATTTTATACTCCTTTGTTCTAATGTGCACAGGCAACCCGAAAGTCAGCTAATTCTACAAAAATTTAAAAGAAACAAACTAACTTGAGGTTCTAAATAACTTATTCAAGTCCTGGCAGTCGGGATTTGATCATATAACTCTTGTCTCTATTTCTCAGACTGCAAAAACTAATAGGTCGTGGCAAATAATGTATATAAGTTTTGTTAATGAATGGAAAACATTAGGAAGTTAAATATCTGGATACACATATTTTCTAGGCCAACGTTTCTCCTGCTAAATAATCCTACCTTCAGTCACGGTTGATTTTAAACTGCAGCCAAAAGAACCAAGGGTGATTGTGGCTGTCATTACTGAATAAATGTCATGGGGTTAGCAGGGAGAGAAAGAGAGAGAGAGAAAGAGACAGAGACAGAGAGAGGGAGATTACAGAATGGGGTACTAATAGTTTGTAACAGTTTTTAAACAATCCTGTTGTAGATTAATGATAGGGTATCAGACAGTAGAGGTAAACTTTGTAGCATATTGCATTTCTGATCAATGCCTACAAATTGATTTTTTTACAAAACTCCTCTGTTACACATGTAAGCGTCACAAGGAGCCTGAGTTTCTTTTGTTACAGATTTAAACAATATTCTAGCATAACCCTGAGAAAGTAAATAATATTTGTGATAATTAATGGATTTTCTAGAAAACTAAATGGTGATGGTGAACTGCCAGGATCCCAAGGAAAAGGAATAGCTCTAGCAAAAAGGATCTGTAGAAAAGAGGAAAGCCTGGTACGCCCTTCTGTCCCCATCTTATCCATAGGCTGACCAAGATAACACCTTGAATGTCACATTTACAAGCAAGTATTTTCTGGCCCGATAGCATCAAGCATAAAGTCAATCCATCATTTGTCCTAAAGGAACAGGAACATTTGTTTACACTGGAGGAGTCACAAGTCTGAGGAGATTTTTCGATCAGAAATAACCTATCCTTAGACTGAGGTTGGTGAAGGAAGGCAGAAGTCTACGCTGTGTTTTTCTGATTGAACTTTGCACACAGAAGAGTCTTTTGAAATAAGCACTTCGATGTCAACAGCAGTTAATTCAGCAGGCACATGCTGTGGATTAGGGAGAACTAAGATAGGTGATTCTAACTGCTGCAACAGATGTTCTGGGAATATCAGAACCATTGGACTTCAGTGTCAAAGTGAAGCCAGGGACCATGGGAGAATCCTGGTGCCCCCAAAATCACAGAACGTCTTTTGATTCACTTCACTCTGGCCTTTCAGGGTGTTTCTCTACCCTATCGTGCCTCGATTAAGCCACATATTGGTTGAGTCACCTTCCCTCCAATCCCCAAATGTAGCTGCCCAAATCAGATACCGTCACAGGTCATGGATGATAAGCATTTTAATGCATGCATCAGTGTATGTCCTGTTTCTGTTACACTGAAGTACTTAAACAACAGTCATTGTGTTCTCTGCTGATGTGGATAGACTCTTACCTGGTCATAAATGTGTCCTTTATAATTGCTGTTACCTGAGGGCTTTCCATGAAGGCAACTTCAGCAATTAAAGTTACTTAGGTAGCAATCTCGGTTAAAGTGTGATGAACATTTAATTTAGAACAGTGTAGCTTCTTGGTTAGTTTGTGTTGATCTCCAACCTGGTATGTCAACTTGTTTCTCAGTGAGATGGAGAGGTTGAGAGTGCTGCCAAGAGGATGTTAACTATTTTATATGGTATCGTTCTACAAGGTTTGCAGCTACGTACTGAGGTAAAACAGCGTGAACACAGACAATTAAATAAAAGCATAAGAAAATGAAAATATATTTCCAAGATAGGAGGGCAAGTTGAGTGGGAACAATATGCAGCCACTGCCTGAAGGCGTTTGAAGAATGGGAATGGCGAGTCCTGGAAGATTTCCTGGGCCAACAACCTGAAGATTGCACCGCTGCGCAGAGCGCTCCTGGCCTCTGAAGCAGATGTTCTGGAGGCTGCTCTAGTAGTGGACAGACAGGTAAGGATGGTTTAAGCCAGCTTCCTGGAAAGTTCCAGGTCCAGCTTCTAAACGCTCTTCCCAAATTGATAATTCAAAGAGAGTCTGTAGAAACATTTAGGATTTAGGGAAACTACCGTCTGCGTTTATTTTTCTTCCCACAAACTTTTAATAAGCAGCAACTATATTGGCCTGTTCCTGGTGGGGAAATAGGAAGGAAGGGGGAAAATGATGTCATAAGACACTGGCTGTGTGTCTCAGTTCCCTTGTGATTATTTTTGAGATGGAAACGACTGACTCAAGGGCAGAGGACAGGAGGCCCTCAAGCACTACAGTTTGCTGATTGGAAGTGATCAGCATTACAAACCCGGTGCAAGGGCAACGGTGGGTCAGAGATGTGGGCTGAAGAGTCCTGGAAACAGAGGTCCTGGGCAGGGAAATCCGATATGGGGCTTTGAGTAACCTCATGGGCATCTATGAAGAGACAGACAAAAATTAGTCTGTCCAGAGGAAGCGATGACTGATGGCATTTCTACCTGCACGCAGTCTGGAAAAGAGTCGGCCCCACCCTGAGTCTTCCCACTCATCTCCTCTCACACATCAATCACCCTGTGTCCTAACCACGACAGCTGCTAAATCTTTAACTTAAGGGGGAAAAGATTTGTTTTTAACTTAAGGAAGGAAAGTATTGTTTAAAATATGAGATGAAAGGAGGAATGACTATTCACTCTTCCTCTCCTAAAGACTTAGCCATTTTAGGCTGGGCACGGTGGCTCACGCCTGTAATCCTAGCACTTTGAGAGGCCGAGGCAGGCGGATCATAAGGTCAGGAGATCGAGACCATCCTGGCTAACACAGTGAAACCCCGTCTCTACTAAAAATACAAAAACAAAATTAGCCAGGCATGGTGGTGGGTGCCTGTAGTCCCAGCTACTTGGGAGGCTGAGGTGGGAGAATGGTGGGAACTTGGGAGGCAGAGGTTGAAGTGAGCTGAGATCACGCCATTGCACTCCAGCCTGGGTGAAAGAGCGAGACTCTGTCTCAAAAAAAAAAAAAAAAAAAAAAAAGATACACAATTTAGGTTAGAGAGGAGGAATAAGTTCAAGAGATCTCTTGTACAACATGGTGACTATATTATAGTTAATATAAAAAATTATACTGATGAAAATTGCCAAGACAGTAGATTTTAAGTCTTCTCACCACAGAAAAGTATGTGATGTAATGCATATGTCAATTAGCTCAATTTAGCCATTTCAAAATGTATACATATTCCAATACCACATGTCTTACATGATAAATGTATGCAATTTTTATTTGGCAATAAATAAGCAGAAATATTCAAAAATGAATGAACTATTTTGTATTACGAAAGGTCTGTATCCAAACAATCTATAGTTGGTTATTTGAAAAAACAAACAAAACTCCCCTAAAATATCAGAATTTCATTGCTTTTAAGATAGAGATTGGATATTTTATCAAATATTTTATGATTATATTTTACTCACTCATGGCCTGATTCCTCAGAACATACAGTCAGCTAAATTGCCAATGACTTAAACATTTGAAGTTAGGTTTGTTTTTGGTTGTTGTTGTTCATGCTGCAGGGCATAAATTCCTGTGTAATGTGTGCTCACGTATTCAGCTTTGCTTTCAGATTAAATGGAGCACTTCCTAATGGGTCAGTAGCCTGTGAATCCACTGCTTATGACAGTCATCACACTGTAGCTCCGTGTGAGGGCAGCCAAGTGTAAAACTAAGATTCTCCACTAATATCTGTCTAGGGGAGATGTGAGACAATGGCTTTTAAACTTCAGAGTATGTCGGAATTAACAGGAGGACTTACTAAAATACAGATTGCTGGGCCCCAGTTCTAGAGTTCCTAATTCAGTAGGTCTCAGGGGAGCCTGAGAATTTACATTTATAACAAATTCCCGTGTGGTGCTATCACTGCTCATTCAGGAACCGCACGTTAAAAACCAGTAGAGAAAAGTGTGGTGCTGCATTTGTTGCTGCCGTATGTAAAACCTGTGAGGTAGCAAGTGAGGTGGTCATCACCACACATAATGAAAACAGTTTCATAAAACTCACTAATGAATGGGTCCAGTTCTGTTACCCCTTAGGTCTAACTTTTATGGAAGAAACACAGACCTTGCCTTCTGATGAATTGGCTGACTGCTGAACTAACTCACTGAGTCTTTCATTTACTTGGAAAATCATGATTGAACTTCATTGATCAGATGGGCATTCTACTTAACACAGGGTGGACAAAAGTTTGGAAAAATAAACAAGTGTTTAATATATTTCACATATTAAGTTGCAATAACACTCATTGTTGATGAGCTAAGGGACACCACCTGGAGTGCTTCCCGCAGAAGATATACCACCCGTTCCTTCAAGGGAGGGAGGAACCAGATGGTTGGTAATTTCCAAAACTGAGATGGACAATGTAGCCCTGAGGAGTGGGCTGCATGCTCCTCAGCTCGGAACCCTCGTGATTACTTTCTCTGGAATATGCAAAAAGTGCGGGTTTATTCAATGAAAATCAGAGGCACCAATCATCTGAGGCAATGTCTCAATGGGGAACATCTGAGGGGTTGATGAAGGTGTGTCTTAAGGCACCATGGTGACTGTAGTTTTGCACAGTATCTTGGACTTTTTGTTGCTATTGCAGATCAACACCATTACGTATCTCATGTCATGTAATATCACGAACTGGAATGGTGTATCAATAAATCACCTATTATGGATATTCCGTAATATTTTCAGGTTTTGGGCCACCCCGCAGAAGAGGATTCAATGAGCTCATGCTATCTTCCCTCTCAAAGGAGGTGGGCAGTAACGCAGAGCATTTGAATTTAACGCTGAGCCTCTCATGAGAGGGGATACATGGGAAAAGAAGCTCTGTGAAAACTGGAGGTTACTGGGGCCAGATGAGGCTGTATTGCCATGATGGGGATGGATGATTAGAAACAGTGCAGAGAAAGGGCCCTGACTGATTGGTGTTTCTGATTCCAAAAACATAAAACAAACATGGCAGGTTTTCATGTCTTTGCTATTGTAAATAGTGCTGTGATGAACGAACCAGTGCAGGTGTCTTTTTTATAAAACAATTTCTTTTTCTTTGGGTAGACATCCAGTAGTGAGACTACTGAGTTCAATGGTGGTTCTATTTTTAGTTATTTTTATTTTTATTTTTATTTTTTTTTTGAGACAGAGTCTCCCTCTGTCACCCAGGCTGGAGTGCAGTGGCGCGATCTCGGCTCACTGCAAGCTCCGCCTCCCGGGTTCATGCCATTCTCCCACCTCAGCCTCCCGAGTAGCTGGGACTACAGGAGCCCGCCGCCATGCCTGGCTAATTTTGTTTTTATGTTTTTAGTAGAGATGGGGTTTCACCGTGTTAGTCAGTATGGTCTCGGTCTCCTGACCTCGTGATCCGCCCGCCTTGGCCTCCCAAAGTGCTGGGATTACAGGCATGAGCCACCGCGCCCAGCCCAGGATGATATTTTCTAAAGTTTCTTCTAGGATTTTTATAGTTTGAGGTCTTACATTTAAATCTTTAAACCATCTTGAGTTAATTTTTGTATATGGTAAAATGTAGGGGTCCAGTTTCATTCTTCTGCATATGGCTAACCAGTTATCCCAGCACTATTTATTGAATAGGGAGTCTTTTCCTCATTGCTTATTTTCATCAACTTTGTCAAAGATCAGATGGTGGTAGGTATGTGGATTTATTTCTAGGTTCTCTCTTCGGTTCCATTGGTCTATGTATCTGTTTTTGTACCAGTACCATGCTGTTTTGGTTTAAACTAGGTGCCCATAAATAGTGGATTGAATTAAGAAAATGTGGTACATATACACCATGGAATATTATGCAACCATAAAAAAGAACAAAATCGGCCTGGTGTGGTGGCTCACACCTGTAGTCCCAGCACTTTGGGAGCCCAAGGCGGGTGGATCACAAGGTCAGGAGATCGAGACCATCCTGGCTAACACGGTGAAACCTCGTCTCTACTAAAAAATACAAAAAAATTAGCCCGGGCATGGTGGTGGGTGCCTGTAGTCCCAGCTACTCAGGAGGCTGAGGCAGGAGAATGGCATGAACCTGGGAGGCAGAGCTTGCAGTGAGCTGAGATCACACCACTGTACTCCATCCTGGGCGACAGAGCAAGACTCCGTCCAAAAAAAAAAAAATCATGTCTTTTGCAGCTGCATGGATGCAGCTGGAGGCCATTACCCTAAGTGAATTAACAAAGCAACAGAAAACTAAATACCATGTTCTCACATATAAATGGGAGCAAACCATTGGGTGCACATGAGCATAAAGATGGGAACAAAAGACACTGGGACTCCTAGAAGGGGGAGAGAAGGAGGGAGGGTAAGGGTTGAAAAGCTACTTATTGGGTACTATGCTCACTACCTGAGTAATAAGATCATTTGTACACAAACCTCAGAGTCCCACACTATACCCATGTAACAAATCTGCACATGTATCCCCTGAATCTAAAAGTTGAATTTTTTTTCTTACAGTAAGCTTTTATTCATTTATGTTGCATAACCAGCAATATTGGGAGATATTCAATTTTTTTATTAAGGTGCTAGGCTGTGCCTTAAAGGATTCAAATATTTTAATAAAATGTAGTTTCAAACTATTTTAAATCAAAATACTCTAATGTTATTTCTAATATGAATGCCATTTTTTTCTGAGTGTGAAAAATTCCAGAAACAGTTATTTATTTTAATACGAAGCTAGTACAAAATAAAGTTTAAGTGAAATTAATTGGAGAAAAAGCCAACTTAACTAGGTATAAACTCTATACTTTGCCTCTCTTTATAGAAATAAAATCATGTGCCTTCAAGTGTATAAGACAGCAGGAACTAATTTCCAAAGGACCAACACTTGGAAAAGCAGTGACAGCATTAGGAGGAATAACTGTTGAGAGCTGCACTCTTGGGACAGCTGGACTATGCTGCTGGGCAGAGTTCAGGCAGAGCAGGGCTGCTCTCTCTCCTGTCTGGAGAGTGCTCTGAGTGTAGCCCTAGGCCTGCACCTGGCAAGTTCATGGTTCAGACAAACTCTGGCCTCCCCAGCACAGACAGGCAGCATGGTTCTTCTCACAGTCCAGGGAAATGCTCCTGGACACGTCTCAAAATGAAAGATCTTCTCATCTTGTCCCCCAGTGGTTCAAACTTCTGCTGAGTGTGGGCTGAATATCTTTGTGATACATTTATAAACAAATAGATGCTTCCTAAAGTTTTACTTTGCAACTGTTTCATCCCTCTTCTTCAAAATAAAGTGAATAAAATATTTCATGGAGTTTAGTGAGAAAAATAAATCAGATTATTCATATAAAATATTGATTACAGTGCTTCTTGGTACACTGTCCACTGTCTGGGCACACGGGCAATAAATTATAGCTGCTATTTTTAAATATATTATTTGAATATTGTCAGACATAAATGAGTATTCAAAACCTCTACTATAATATCTATAAGATATTAAATGCCTACTAGGAAGTATTAATTATTTTTCTATATACAATGTACCAGGAATTCTCAACATGGTTCCCATTCAAATTGGATTGAGGACATTTTCCCACATTTTCCCAGTAGAGACTATCTCAAGTGTTGAACATGAGTGCTAGCTTTGCCCTGTCCTGTGAGTGCATCACCACACTGACACTCTTGAAGTCCTCTAACTTGATAGTTTCCACGTGAAATCTTAATCCAGTTTCATGAGCAGGGTTGGTTCTACTGAAAATTAATGAGGAAGCAGATGAAATTTATTTTTACTTCCCACCCCAATCCCCAAAGCTTATTAATCTCCTTACATCCTGGCCCCTTGCTCTTCCATTTGTTCTGAGCTCTTGACGTCTGTTTCTCTATGTTTTTTATCCTATCGATTCAATAATTGTTGTTAGAGTGTCTCCTCTGTATTACCCAGGGACATCCCGTTAAACGCTGCTATTACAAAGTAGATAAGATGCTGTCCATTCCCCCAGTTAATGCTTCTCTTAAATAATTATCATAAATATCATGGGCAATGGCATAAGCAGATTTTTCTGGTCTACTCCACGGCAGCAGTAATAGAATGTTATCTCAGTGTGTTCAGTGTTGTTAACAATGTCCTGTTTTGTATTTTACTATAAGTTTTTCTTCGGATAAACTTGTTTTGTGAAATATGTTCAAAATGTATTAAGAGTCTGCCTTTTAAGCAAATTCTCTGAAAAGCTTCTCCTAGGTATGTACTAAATAAATACATTTTCCAGTATGATGCATTCTGCCATTTGGTACATTTTAAGAACTCTTTTCTACTTATTTAATATAATTAAGGTCAAGCTCATTGTACTTTCTTTTTACATGTTGTGCATAAATGTATGAACAATTAGTTCATTATATACATTGACTACAATTTTCTGTCTTGTTTTGTTTTTCTTTTCTCAGAGCTAAACTCCTGGAATAGGAGTTGGGAGACTGGAAGTCTGGTAGTGGCTCTACTGAGTTGACAGACCTGGAGTGAGCACGTGCCAGCACTTTGGTCTCCATATATACCACGCAAGAGTTCAAATAAAATAATGCACACACTTTCCTCCAGCTCTAACATTTAGGACTTGATCATATTTCAAATTCAAAACTCTTCTTAATTTTAATAGGAATCCCTCTCTAAGACAGCCTTTAAAAGGCAGTAAGCCAAATGTGCGATTGAATTATCAGGTGTATACATGCTGTGGGTTAATTAGCTGAAATACGGCTGCGCTCTGTTTAGCAGGTGAAAAGAGTTTACACCTTAAAGTAGAATGGTTTTAAAAATTGAACATTAAAATGTTATTCTGTGTTAGTGTGGGTAATAAGATTAAAGAACACAGATTAGTTATCAACATAAAAGAATGGGCAGAAAAGTAAATAATGAAGGGAGCAAGACAAGAAGGCAGAATGCAGTGGAGATGAACGTAACTGATCTCATTCAAAACTCAAGGGATGTGTCAACAGTGAGCAGTGTGAGCCTGAGGGGTTTTAATCAATCATCTGGAACTGTGGGTCACTCCCGCATGGTACATCATGAAATTCAAAACAAAACAAAAAAATGGAGCAGAAGGAACATCACACACAACCACTGAATAAAGACGAAAAACATAAAGGAAGACACCCTAATGTCATCATGATGACTTCTTTGATAGAATTTTATCAAACATGTCTGCCAACTTTTGAAAAACCACAACTGAAGAACAGGAGTGGGAAAGACACCCACTAACTTTCTTTTTTTTATTATTATACTTTAGGTTCTAGGGTACATGTGCACAACGTGCAGGTTAGTTACATATATATACATGCACCATGTTGGTGTGCTGCACCCAGTGACTCGTCATTTACATTAGGTATATCTCCTAATGCTATCCCCCCCTCCCCCCACCCCACGACAGGCCCCGGTGTGTGATGTTCCCCTTCCTGTGTCCATGTGTTCTTATTGTTCAATTCCCACCTATGAGTGAGAACATGCCAACACCCACTAACTTTCTTCAGCTTTGAAACTCACAACGAACGCAGACGCACCACACAAGGCCACAGCGTCAGAGTCTATTGATGTTGGATGATGAAAGCACAGAAAACAGAACATGACTTTCATCAGGTTTGATCTTCTCATCTTCAGTGTTTTTAAGGCATAGAAGAGGACTAAAATGGGATGAATCCAAAGGTTAAAAAAGTGAAACTGCAGAGTGTTTCTGGCTAGCAAGAGTTAGGAAAAGCAAGCAAAAGTCTCTGAACCCTACATCTCCACCATCTCTTCTGAGCTCGGGATTCCCAGCCTGGATGCAGAGAAAACCCTAGTCCCTATCCGGAGGAAGTCTTGTTACCTCAAATGCTGTGTATTCTTAACCACACTTCTTTTCAACACAAAGCTGTTCTTTTTCTTGGCTCTCTCATTTCTGCTATTTATATGACTGACATCTGTTCTCTCTTGCTGAAAAGTTAGATGTGTTTTGGAACTAGGGTAAGACAAGACACACAGGGGACAAGATTTAAGGAGATGCTGCACTTGCACAACCGTGACAGTGAGTGTCTCCCTAAGGTCTGTGCCCTCGGCACTTCATTACATCACCCCCACCCTGGCCCTGAATCAGACCACTTCTGACTTCAACATACCGCTTGTGTCTGCCTGGCTTCTGTGCTCCAACGGCCCTGTTGGACTGAGAAAGTGATGCCCATGAACATGTTTGTTTGGCATGGCAGGTTAACTGCGATGAAGGGGTCCATCTCTTCTTTCAAGGAGCCTGCTGCAAAGTGCTAGTCTCCTCTAAATGGCCGTGTTACATCCCTAGTAAACAAACATGCAGAAACATAAATGCCACTTCTTTAAGCTGGATTTCCATGTCCCCTACAGATTCCTTGGGCGTGGGTGTGACTGGAGCATTCGTGGGGTAAAGCCATGGCAGAACCATGCTCAGGCCTGGTTTGGATCACCCTGCAAACATTCCCATTCTCACCCCAGCTGTGTTCCCAATGGAGGCAGAGAATAAGTGAGAGAAAAGTTGCAACTGGGGAGAAGACAATTCCAGACATAGTAGGGTGGTTGAACCAACTGTGTATAACATTCTAAATGACTTGAATCCAGACTGACTACACTAGAAATACACAATACTTCTGTTGGTCTTAAATCCTACTGAATTACAGGAGAATAAAGAGGAAGTATTTAGAAAATGGATATACTTCAAGGAGAGCAATTGAACATTTTTGGGAAGAAATAAAGAGCTATTACTTTATTCCATGTCTTTATCATCTCATATCTAGATATTCTAATGGATATATATCTTTCTGATTGACCTCCTGCACCAATATTTTAAACTTTTTCTATTCATTCTGCATGTGGCATTCCAAAGTGCCACTGGTTCATTTATATTACAAGCACAAAGATAAACAGATAACTTTTTTTTTTTAACTTTATGAAGTACAAATGCTGGCTGGGCGCGGTGGCTCACACCTGTAATCCTAGCACTTTGGGAGGCCGTGGCGGGTGGATTACCCGAGGCTGGGAGTTCGACACCAGCCTGGTCAACACGGAGAAACTCCTTCTCTACTAAAAATACAAAATTAGCCGGGAGTGGTGGCGCATGCCTGTAATCCCAGCTACTCAGGAGGCTGAGGCTGGAGAATCGCTTGAACCCAGGAGGCAGAAGTTGCAATTAGCCGAGATCACGCCATTGCACTCCAGCCTGGGTGACAGAGTGAGACTCCATCTCAAAGGAAAAAGAAAAAAAAGGAAAGGGGAAAAAAAGGCTTTTCCATATATTTATATTCCATATCATTTTAAATATTAGACAATTTATGTCACTTTGGATGCACTCTAAGTTTAAACAAAGGAAATTAGGACAAAGATAAAATGAGGATTGATTAGTAAGAAAAAGCTAGAGTGAGTTGGTACCCACAATGACAGGCCATGAAAACTTTTACAGCTGTTGATTTTAGTAGAGCAATTTAGTACTGCGTTCTTGGTAGGCAGAGTGAATAAGGAGCAAGAGTCAGTCATAAGATCCCAACTGGCTACAATTTAAAAACACACCTGTTAATCAAGGAAAGAACCACAATTTTTGGAGACAAGTTCTAGGAGAAATTCTAATCCACGGCATAATGGAAGATGATGCCTTCGCAGTATCTCCATGAGGAACTCACCTGTGAGTCTCACTAGTTGTCTGTAACACTGACTCTTACTTCAAGCCAATGACATCACTTGGTTCTCTGCATGGCTTTGAAGACCCTTCAAGATTAGGCCATCCTCAGCTCCAGAAGACCCCATCCCCTCAGTGAACACTGGGAATCCCACTCTTCTTTCTCCTTTCCAGATAGCTTGTTCATAGCATGTGGAATCTCTGTCATTAGAAGCCACAAATACAGCCACATTTTATGTTTCTACTTGGTTCTTTGTGAGAAACAACCCCACGTGAGACATAAAATGAGCCGTTGATGGTGAAGAAAATCCAAGACTGCAGAGAGGAAAGCCAATATTTAGGCAGAGTCAGATTCTAATTGGTTACTGGTGTCAATATCTCTAATTTATCGATGATTTTTTTTTACATTTTGGGTAGCAAAGAAAATGGAAAGATGAAAACTTGGGCTTGTAGTTATCTTTATCAAAATATTTGAGCAGATTTTCAGGTACCTGATTTGCATAAGTTATAAACACATTCACTTGGCTAAAGTTTTGACAGACCTGAGGATGAGTGGGCAGCCTTTGCTGCCACGGAAAATCTAGAATAAATATTTTGTTTCTGTTTTACTGCTTTTTAAAAGTTGTACATATTGAATGTATTTGTCTTGATGAGTTTAGAATAAGAATATGCCTATGAAACCAACATCACTATCATGGCCATAAATATATCCATCACCTCCCAAAGTTTCCTATTGACTCTTTATTATTGTTACTGTTTCATTTTGTTTGGTGAGAACACTTAACATAAGATCTACCTTCTTAGCAATTTTAATTACACAGTAAGGTGTTCTTAGCCGTAGGCACTACGCTGTATGGCAGATCTCCAGAACTTATTTACCTTGCATAAATGAAACTTCGTACCCCTTAATCATCACCTTCCCATTTACCCCAACCCCTAGCCCCTGATCACCATTATTCTATTCTCTATTTCTACTTGTGTGATTATTTTAGCTTCTACATATAAGTGAGATCATGCAGTATTTCCTTTCTGTGTCTGGCTTATTTCACCTAGCATTATGCCCTGCAGGTCCACTCATTTTGTTGCAACTGGAAGAATTTCCTTCTTTTTTCAGGCTGAATAATATTCCATTGTATGTACTATGAACCCAAAATATCTGAGACAGATCTCAGTCAATTTAGGAAGTTTATTTCACGAAGGTTTAAGGATGCACCGGTGACACAGCCTCAGGAGATCCTGATGACATGTGCCCAAGGTGGTCGGGGCACAGCTTGGATTTATACATTTTAGGGAGACATAAGACATCAATCAACATATGTAATATGTACATTGATTTGGTCCAGTAAGGTGGGACAACTCCACCTTACTTCGACTCCCCCCACCCCCACCAGGTTCCAGGTTTAGAAGAGGCTTCCAGGTTAGAAGAGACATGGGACAAAAAGGTTGCATTCTTTTGAGTCCTTGATACGCCTTCCACTAACTACAC
Source organism: Homo sapiens (assembly GCF_000001405.40). NCBI lineage: Eukaryota > Metazoa > Chordata > Mammalia > Primates > Hominidae > Homo > Homo sapiens. Next base: position 38,930,912 of record NC_000009.12, read on the forward strand.
AATTTAGTCTGGCTCAGTGAATCTGCTTTGTACATAAACAATAGGGCAGAGGAAGCAATCAGATATGCATTTGTCTCAGGTGAGCCTCAGAGGAATGATTTTGAGTTCTGTCTGTCCTTTGTCCACAAGGAATTTCCTTATGGGCAAAATGTGAGGGAGGTATGTAGCTTTTTATCTTTGTAGGCTATTTTATTTAGGAATCAAAAGGGAGGCAGGTTTGTCTGACATAGTTCCCAGACTGACTTTTCCCTTGGCTTACTAATTTTGGGGTCCCGAGATTAGTTTTTCTTTCACAGTACAAACTGTGATTTCTTTCTCCATTCATCTATTGATGGACATTTAGGGTGTTTATACATCTTAACTGTTGTGGATGATGGTGCAGTGAACGTGGCAGTGTGGATATCTCCTTGAGATCCTGATTCCAGTTCCTCTGAATATATACCCAGAAGTGGCATTGTTAGATGATACGGAAGTTCTATTTCTAATTTTTTTTTTTTTTTTTGAGACGGAGTCTCGCTCTGTCGACCAGGCTGGAGTGCAGTGGTGCGATCTCGGCTCAATGCGAGCTCCGCCTCCCGGGTTCAAGCCATTCTCCTGCCTCAGCCTCCCGAGTAGCTGGGACTACAGGCACCCGCCACCACGCCCGGCTAATTTTGTTTTTGTATTTTTAGTAGAGACGGGGTTTCACAGTGTTAGCCAGGATGGTCTTGATCTCCTGACCTCGTGATCCGCCCAACTCGGCCTCCCAAAGTGCTGGGATTACAGGCGTGAGCCACCGCGCCCCGCCACTATTTCTAATTTTTAAAGTAACCACCACATTGTTTTCCATAAGAGCTACATCAGTTTACAGTCCCAAAAACAGTGCGCAAGGGTTTCCTTTTCTCCACAGCCTTGCCAAGACTTGTTTTCTTTTCTTAATAATAGCAATCCTAAGAAATGCTGAGGTGATACCTCATTGTGGTTTTGATTTGCATTTTCCTGATGATTAGTGACACTGAGCATTTTTTATATGCTTGTTGGCCATTTGTTTTGTTGTTGTTGTTGGTTTACTTATTTATTTATTTATTTATTTATTTTTGAGACAGAGTCTCGCTCTGTTGCCCAGGCTGGAGTGCAGTGGTGCAATCTCGGCTCGCTGCAAGCTCCACCTCCCGGGTTCACGCCATTCTACTGCCTCAGCCTCCCGAGTAGCTGGGACTGCAGGTGCCCACCACCACGCCCGGCTGCTTGTCTGCCATTTGTATGTCTTTTTGAGAAATGTCTGTTCGTGTCCTTCACCCATTTTTAAAAATTGGCTATTTGTTTTCTTGCATTTCAGTTGCATGAGTCTCTAATATATTTTGGATATTAAACACTTATGTGTTTTGTAAAAGAATGACACTGGACCTTTATAATACACACAAATTAACTCAAAATGGATTAAAGAATTAAATGTAAGACCTGAAACCATAAAATGCCTAGAAAACTGAAGGAGAAAGCTCCTTGACATTTATCTTGACAATGATTTTTTTGGACATGACATCAAAATCACAGACAAGAAAATCAAAAATGAACAAGTGAAATAAAGCTTGTGCATAACAAAGGAAATAATCAACAAAATCAAGAGGCAACCTATGGAATGGGAGATTAGCATAAATATTTTGTATGGACAAAATCTGTTCAAGAAAATCAATAATGAATGCTTTGAACTGTAACAGGTTTAGTACTTTAAGTACCCATGGAAGCAGTTCATTGCATTCTTTTATTATTTTTTATTAGAATTTTCTTTCTTTTGGCCTGGCGCAGTGGCTCACACCTGTAATCCCAGCACTTTGGGAGGCCGAGGTGGGCGGATCACGAGGTCAAGAGATGGAGACCATCCTGGCTAACACAGGAAACCCCATCTCTACTAAAAATACAAAAATTAGCTGGACGTAGTGGCGCATGCCTGTAATCCCAGCTACTCAGGAAGCTGAGGCAGGAGAATCGCTTGAATCCAGAAGGCGGAGGTTGCAGTGAGCCGATCTGGCATCACTGCACTCCAGCCTGGGCAACAGAGCGAGACTCCATCTTCAAAAAAAAAAAAAAGAATTTTCATTTTTTGCGGTGGGTGCGGTGGCTCACGCCTGTAATCCAAGCACTTTGGGAGGCTAAGGCGGGTGGATCACTAGATCAAGAGATCGAGACCTTCCTAGCCAACATGGTGAAACCTCGTCTCTACTAGCAATACAAAAATTAGCCAGGTGTGGTGGCGTGCGCCTGTAGTCCCAGCTACTCAGGAGGCTGAGGCAGGAAAATCGCTTGAACCGGGGAGGCAGAGGTTTCAGTGAGCTGAGATCATGCCACCGCACTCCAGTCTGGTGACAAAGCGAAACTCTGTCTCAAAAAAAGTATATATTTTTTTAAATCTTTTAATTTTTAATTTTTTATTTCACTTTAAGTTCTGGGATACCTATGCAGAATGTTCAGTTTTGTTACATAGGTATACACGTACCATGTACCATGGTGGTTTGCTGCACCTATCAACCAGTCATCTAGGTTTTAAGCCCCACATGCATTAGGTTTTTGTCCTAATGCTTTCCCTCCCTTTTTCCCTTACCCCCGGACAGGCCCTGGTGTGTGATGTTCCCCTCCCTGTGTCCATGTGTTCTCATTGTTCAACTCCCACTTATGAATGAGGACATGCAGTGTTTGGTTTTATGTTCCTGTGTGAGTTTGCTGAGAATGATGGCTTCCAGCTTCATCCATTTCCCTGCAAAGGACATGAACTCATTCTTTTTATGGCTGCGTAGTATTCCATGGTGTATATGTGCCACATTTTCTTCATCCAGTCTATCATTGATGGGCATTTGGGTTGGTTCCAAATCTTTGCTTTTGTAAATAGTGCTGCAATAAACATACATGTGTATGTGTCTTTATAGCAGAATGATTTATAATCCTTTGGGTGTATACCCAGTAAAGGGATTGCTGGGTCAAATGGTATTTCTGGATCTAGATCCTCGAGGAATTGCCACACTGTCTTCTACAATGGTTGAACTAATTTACACTCCCACCAACAGTGTAAAAGTGTTCCTATTTCTCCACAGCCTCGCCAGCGTCTGTTGTTTCCTGACTTTTTAATAATCGCCATCCTTTCAAAACTTTAACCTGACAACATTTAAATGCAATTCAAAAGAAAATAAATTGGCCAGACACGGTGGCTCATGCCTCTAATCCCAGCACTTTGGGAGGCTGAGGCAAGCAAATCATTTGGGGTCAGGAGTTCAAGGCCAGCCTGGCCAACATGGGGAAGCCCCGCCTCTACTAAAAATACAAAAATTAGCCAGGCTTGATAGTGTATGCCTGTAATCCCAGCTACTTGGGAGGCTGAGGCAGGAGAATCGCTTGAACCCAGGAGGCAGAGGTTGCAGTGAGCCAAGATTGCGCCACTACAGAGTACACTCCAGCATAGGAGACAGACCAAGACTCCATCTCAAGAAAAAGAAAAAAAGAAAATCAGTTGACTAAACAGGTAAGAAACAAGAACAAAAATATAAATCTATTCAATATATTTATTTTCTGAACATAATGAGAAAGGTTATAATACTTGTAAAAATTCCTTCACTCATTAGTTATACTTTGCATTGTCTACTTTTATTTTATTTAATTAATTAATTTATTTTTTTGAGATGGAGTCTTGCTCAGTCGCCCAGGCTGGAGTGCAGTGGCATGATCTCGGCTCACTGCAAGCTCCGCCACCCAGATTCATGCCATTCTCCTGCCTCAGCCTCCCGACTAGCTGGGACTACAAGTGTCCGCCACCACGCCTGGCTAATATTTTTTGTATTTTTAGTAGAGATGGGTTTTCACCATATTAGCTAGGATTATCTCGATCTCCTGACCTCATGATCCACCCACCTCAGCCTCCAAAAGTGCCGGGATTACAGGCATGAGCCACCACACCTGGCCAGATTGTCTACTTTTAGAAAAGTAAGCTGTGAAACACCTAAACTAGGTTATTGCTATGTGACTATATTAACTTCTCTATCCTTCCACCCTTCACTCAAGTACATACATTTTAGAATGGAAAAAAAGGATGAGAGGAAGCTTCATGCATCAGGCATCAGACATCTAACAAAGAGGTTCCTTAAGCTGAACTGTTGTCTTGAACCACATTTGGCCAACTGGAACTGCTGGAAATTGTGAGGGAGATGATGAAGAAGGTTCTGGTCCCTCTTATGTTGGACAGATTGCTGACAGCCATGGCTGAATGGAGGGAGACAGGAGTGGAAAGCCTTTGTTCTAAGAGTTCTAGGTTTTGCATATGAATACATAGCTGAATCGAAGTGAAAGGTAGAGAAGGAATATGTAAATCATTGGACATTTTTGGAAAACAATGTTCTCTTCAATTAGTGCTTTTGTGAATAATAGGATGCATTAGGTGTCAGGAGAGACTTTAAAAAAATTGTGCCAATTTGTGGGTAAGGCTCAGAGCTGAGAACAAGGCATTCCAGTTATTGCTGCCTCTCAGGACACCCAGGTTCCCACAGGCTTGCTGGGACGTCTGAATTCGGGAAAACAAACCCTCTCCCAGACTCTTGTCCCACAGTGGACATCAGAGAAGGACCTAGGGTGGAGGAATGGTCACCTAGTTGGGGAGTGCTATGTTCCTGAAAAGATCCTAGTCTTGTTCACCTCTCTAAAGCCAAAGGATATAGCCCTAAGAGAAAGGATTACTCCTGGAGATTGGGACCCTAAACCCTAAAGTTCGGAATGGGCGAGTCCCTCATTGGGAAGTTGCTAAGCTACACAGTTGGCAGAGAAGATGAGCTGCTGAGGCTGGAGAAAAGGGAAGAAGAGAACATAGAGGGTTGAGAAAGGAGTCTTCAAAGAGCAGCCATTTCTAGCCTGGGGCATGGCAAGGGTCCACGCGTGTCTATGGAGTTAACAGCACCACAGCAGGAGGCTGAGGTTAAGCCATTTTCCTGGCTCCACCATCTTCACAAAAATGCCTACTGAGTAAGGGAATTTCTGCAGAAGGAAGTTTGGTCAGAAGCTGGGGAGAGATGTGATGTCAGTTTGAGAAGGATCTTCCATGCCAATGAACTTTGCAGAAACAAGGCCCTGGGCTCGTAAGATCTTGCAAAGATCCCAAAAAGTCACTCCTTGAAGGAATGATTATTTGTACACCTGCCACACAAAGGTAACCCATGGCCAGTCGAGAAAGGGGACTGCACCCACACCACAGGTAGCCAAGGCAAGGGATAGCTCTGTCCCGCTCCTGCTAGAGAAGGGAAGGATGTGTGAATAGAAAACCTCTCCTTATTTTCAGTGTGGGTGCGTGTGTGGGGGGGGATGCACGTGCACACACACACACACGAGGAGAAAGAGGTCTTTCATTTAAAAATGATTGAACATAAGAGTGCAATTTAAACTGTAATTTCTCCCACCCAAGTCGTGACAATCAAAAATGTCTCCAGACATTGCCAAATGTCCCCTGAGGGGCAAAATTCCTCCAGATTGAGAACCCCTGGTCTAGAGAAAGACCTTATCATTGAGTGGCAGCAACTGTTTTTTTTCTTTCATCGGTTACTTAGACATTCTATGCCACAAAGTGAAAATTAAAGGGAATAAACCTACTGACAAGTCGTGGAACAAACAGATGTTTTCTGGCAGAATCAGGAAAAAAGCCAGTGGTGCATTGAAAATTACTAGAATTTCTCCTCTGTGGGAGAATCTTGGCAGGCAACCTCAGCAGGCATGGGGCTAGATGTGCTTGATTTTTATGCCAAATATTGACTGATTTTCTTAGGTATTGTTCCATGGTATTTTTTCAACTAATGTCCAGACTGAGCAGAAAGGCAGCCTGTCTTTGCACGTCATAAAATGAACTGTAGACATATTTGCAGTTGACATAGAAATAGTGTTAAAATGCGTAGACATTAAGTTTTCAGCCTAGGTTCATGTTTACATGTTCTAAATGCTTTTCTCTCCACTTTCTGACATGGAAATAACCATTTTTTAGGCATAGATCACACAAAGTCCCTCTGTGGCATGATCCTGTTCCCACTGGAAAGTGCCGTCTATCACTTTTCTGGGCCTACCCAGAGCTCTGCCCTGGCACTCTATGTTTACCTGAACATATATCCATGTCTTCCTATAGATCTATAATCTATAAATTTATAATCTTTGTGCCCAGCAGTTAGCACATTTCCAGACACAGTTAGGTGCCTAATTAGTACTTACTTACTGAATGAATGAATGAATCATCAGCTGAAATGCACGCACATCCATGTTTCAATTATGCCCCACATAGTGGGGCTTCCTTTTCTCACTCTTATGTAACAGAGAAATGATATTCAGGTACACTCGTTAAAGCACTGTACAAGAGACTTTCCTGAAGGAGGGATCTATGGAGACAGGTATAGGGTCCATGGCAATGGGATTTCAGAGTGGAGAAGAGAAACTGGGCTGCAAATGCAGCATGGGCAAGTGGGAATTTATAACCAAGGGCATGGTGGGGGCCAGTGGGTGGAAAATTATGAAGAGGAAACAGCAGGGCTGGGGGATTCTGGCTAAAGCTACCCCTGGTAGGATTCTTGCTGAAGACAGGCCAGGCTGATGAGGTATCAACCGGGGGATAGCGGAGGATGACAAACCTGATTGGGTATTGCGGTGATCAGATATTGAGGGTGGGGAGTTCTTACTAAACTGACTTAGCAGGGTTCTTGCTAAACTGCACTTTATAAGGAAGTGCACAGATGGGCCTTGGGGAACGTTCAGGGGAATGAAGAAATTTTGGTCCAGCCAAAAATCTGTCACCTAAAAGGAGTGTCTTTTTCAATTGGGATCGGGTGTGTCCGGGGTCTCAGCCTCCTGTCTCCCCAGCTTGTTAGCTGTGGGCTGGTCCACGTTCCTCATTGCTTTGTATTCCATAGGGTGCATGGATTTGGTCTCCACTCTTCCTGCCCCACAATGACCTCATGTTCCTCTTCCCAGAAGGAACACACATTGGCTGGGCCCACCCGGAAATTGAAGCTATACACAGCCCACACTGCTGTTTCTTCCACAGCAGCCGAGCCCCTGCCTCCACCCCCACTTACTTGCCATCAGAGCCTTGCTTTGGCTCATGTGTGCTAAGAGAAGGTGACCCAATTTCCAGCCTAGGAGCAAAGTCACCATGAAGTCATGCTGACCTTATTACCTCTGGTTTAGGGGGAGCCTCTGACCGAATTCTGGCAACGGAGCCATGAGGAATCTGGGAGCCCCTGAGAAAGAGTTCCGCACCGACATAAAAAAGTGAGAGCAGAGGTTCACCGCTCTCCTTCCACTGGTGCTGTCCTGACTGACGTGAGGTCACCTTAGGACCAGCGAGGAGCGAGCCCGAGGGCAGGGTGCGTGCTGGGGATGGCAGTGCCAACAGATGGAGATAGTAGGTTCTGGTAACACCGCAGGCCCTGGAGCGGACCGACCCTAATCTGCTCTCTCTTCCAGATCCTTGCTTGTGAGATTTAACTGTTTAAACCAGGTGAACAGGGTTTTCTGTTAACTTGTAGGTAACTGTACCTTGCACAAAAAGATTGTTTACTGAAACACTCTTGGAACTGTACAAACTCCTCAGTATCAGTAGGTAGGGGTTCAGGGAAGGGCCATGAAGCTGGCATCATGTCCAGATTTAGCTTAACCAAGGAGCAAAACATCCCTGCTTCTGCCTTTGAAAGGAGTGGTCCGTTGTTTCTTTGCTGTTTTTACACTTAAAAAAAATCTGATCAGTAGTTCTTCCTGTTGCTCAATATGTACCCATGAGGGCAGGTGGTTGGGGGCAGAGGCAGGGCGAATGGAACTATAGCCAAAAAGGAGAGCAACACTGAAAATCTGTTGCTGAAGTCACAACTTCCTCTCAAGGCTGGAGACCTCAGGGCTCAGCTCTTGGCTGATTCGCTGTCCTCTCTCACAGCCTTAAATCCCAGCCAGAGTCTGATGTCTCTGCAGGATTTCCCTCCCACCACCTCTCCTGTGAGCTCCTGGTGACACAGTCCTCAGCCCTCTCCATACATCCACTCGGATGTCTCAATGTCATGTCCAGCTTAACGTGTTCAAACATGAACTCCTGGTTTTCACTTCCCAAATCTCCTTCCCTTTAAGCATTTCCAGTCTAAGAGGCAGCAAGTCATCCACCACCCATTCAGGCCAAATGTCACAGTTGTCCTCAGTTCTTCCGGTTCTCTCAAATTTACATGCAGTTGATCATAAAATCTGTAGAGTCTGACTTCACTCTCCTTCTGAAGTCTTACCCCATTTCACCTCTACCCTCACCCTGGATCAAGCGACCATCTCCTTCTGCCTGGGCTGCCAACATGGCCCCCACCTGGTATCCTTGCCTTGGCCTTTGCCCACCTTCAGCCTATTTTTCTGCAGCTGCCCAATTTATCTTCTCAACTCATAATTCACATTAAAGTCCTCCAGCATATTTGTATCACACTTAGAACAAAATATAAAGGCCTTTCCTTACTATGCTACTCTGTGATGTATTCTAAATGTTACATTGCATTGAACTAATGAGCCTGAAAAAAGTATTGTGAGCAGATATATAAGCATTCCTGGATTGGCCATGGGGATATCAATTCATATGGATACATGGTGCAAATCCTTAGAGTAACTGATGTGTCTAAAGAAATAATAATGTAATGATCCACATTCCAGTCACTAATATTTGAACCCTCCAAACCTCATGTTGAAATTTGATCCCAATGTTGGAAGTGGGGCCTAATGGGAGGTGTTTGGGTCATGGGGTCGGATCCCTCATGGATGTCTTGGTGCTGGGGAGTGGGGGTAATGAGTGAGTTCTCGCTCTGTTATCTCCTGCAAGAGCTGGTTGTTAAGAAGAACCTGGCACCTCCCCTCTCTCTTGCCTCCTCTCTCACCATGTGATCTGTGCACACTCCACCCCACCTTCCCGCATGAGTGGAAGCAGCTTGAGGCCCTCTCCAGGTGTACATGTCAGTGCCACGCTTCTGGTACAGCCTGCAGAGCCCTGAGTCAAATACACGTCTTTTCTTTATAAGTTTCCCAGCTTCAGATATTCCTTTATAGCAATGCAAAAATGGACTGAGGCACCGAGTGACTCAGAGCACCCTTTTATCAGCTACTCTATTGATTCCATCAGGAACTAAGACCTGTTATGGTCTTACATCACTGCAGTGAGCCTTGCCCCATCACTTGTGTGTATTACCTAAACACTAAAAGCTGCTAAGTGACAACTTTGTGGGCAAATGTAATATCAATTCCATCAGAGTTACTGGAAATACATTTTGTGTTCAAGCTTTTCCAATCACTAAACATTTTCTGTGATAGTTGTCCATGTGGCAATAAACTGCTGCTCATCCAATCTGGGAATGTGATGCATGACTAAAGTCTAATAAAGTTTTGGAAAAGATTCACACATTTCTGAATTTCATAAAGGTCTAATTATTTTGCCATTTCTCTCATCCTAAATATAATTGAAATGCAATGAGTGAGAGCCCACAGGGATTCTCTTAGTGTCCAGATGGGCATTTCTGCTTTTCCTCATGATGGGCTGGACTATTGAAAATTAATTCGTATTTTCAGCTGTGCCAGGTTGTCAGCCAGCTCACAAGTGTAACTGATGACTTAGTACTCGCAAACCATTTATCCTTAAACAGTAATTCCATACTAATAATTTGTTCCAACTCATTTATATCTCAATTCTTAAGCTAGAAAAAATCTCACGTAAAATGTAAAAAGTTGACTGACTAACTTCTTAGTCATCTTTGAATAAACAAATCAGGAATGTTGCTGGCCTATATGAAGTACTCCCTGTATTTAGAAAAGTTTCTGGAGTGGCTGGGCGCGGTGGCTCACGCCTATAATCCCAGCAATTTGGGAGCCTGAGGCGGGCAGATCACGAGGTCAAGAGATCGAGACCATCCTGGCCAACACGGTGAAACATTGTCTCTACTAAAAAAAATACAAAAGTTAGCTGGGCATGGTGGCACATGCCTGTAGTTCCAACTACTTGGGAGGCTGAGGCAGGAGAATTGCTTGAACCTGGGAGGCAGAGGTTGCAGTGAGCCAAGATTGCGTCACTGCGCTCCAGCCTGGGCGACAGAGCAAGACTTCATCTCAAAAAAATAAAAATAAAAATAAAAATAAGTGTTTCTGGAGCATAGAAAATGGCATTTACATACTAAAATGTAATTTCTACAAATCCAAAATATTTTAAGTCATATTTTAATTTGTTTACATAGCTTTAGAGGTTAATATAGAAAAAATATATACCTAGACATTTTTGAAAAATAAAATTTTATTGTTGAGAATAATTTTTATTTGAACTAAATGCTTTGAAATGCTCAAAAGCTTTTGTGTGTTATGGTGGTTATGGTATGTGTGTATGTGTATATCTAAATTGTATAAAGGAGTGTGAGGAGTGTGAGTCAGTCAACTAACACAAAGTATTTTTTCTTGTTTTTGATATCAAAGCTATAATAATTCAGTAATAAATATCACGACTGTATGTCAATCCTCTAAAATTTGTTTTATTTGGGAAACAGTGAACATGTGTAGGAAATACGATTTTTGTATTACATGTTCTCACTCAGGTGGATGCTAAAGAGGTTCTCACTCATGTGGATGCTAAAGATGCTCACGGAGGTAGAGAGTAGAATGATAGATACGAGAGGCTGGGAAGGGCACGTGGGTCAGGGGGATGGGATAATGAGGGGAGGTTGGTCAATGGGTATCACCATACAGTTAGAAGGAATACATTCTAGGGTTCAATCACAGAAATATTAGTAGGGTGACTATAGTTAATAATGATGTATTGTATATTTCAAAAACAGCTAGAAGAAAGGACTTGAAATGTTTCCAACACATGGAAATGATAAAAGGTGGTGGACACCCCAAATACCCTGACTTCATTACTACACATTCCATGCATGCAATGAAATATCATATTTATGTACCCCATAAATATGTACAAATATTATGCATCAATTTAAAAAGAAAATACAGTTTTGGGTAATTGAGTAAAACAATTTTTTTCAAATTTTGTTTTGGCTTAGTGAGAATTGATTAAAAGCATTCATCAAGATGTAGTGCTTATCTATTTTAATTTAGCCACACATTTACTATTATTTGGATAATTATGCTTGTGACAATTTAAGTGGTCATACCAGAACAGTCGAGAAGTGGAGAGATCTTATACCTAGTTCAATGATTTGTTTAGTTTTTTGCTTCAGAACATGTCTTTCAGATGAAATGTCACCTGCAAGTTGGATGAATAAAGCAGCCTGAAGCAGACATTCTTGGGGCAGGAAGGGTGCTGGGGCCTGGACTCTTCTACCAACCCCTACTCTCCCTGCGGCAGGTGATGTGCTGGGTCTGAGGAGCAGCTTCCTGTGGCAGTAGCCCTGGTGCACACTGTCACAGAGACAATCTCTCCCTCTCAGTGACGTGGCCGCTGCGGGGCCCAGCTGTCAGGACTCAGCCCATGGCTTGTTAAGTTTTCTTATTTAAAACGTGCTTTTTAAAATCGAGTTTAAATATAGGCTCCTTGTAATTACCTAGTTAAATAACCTGACATTAGTAATCTTGTATCCGCCAAGATACCTGACATGTTAACGTGACTTACGTCTAAAGTGCAGTGATGAAAAATGTAGTTTGTTCTGCACTTGCTCTAACATATGTGCCACTCCTGGAATATAGATACGAATTGGGAAATGGAACATTATTCATGTAATAGATATTACATTCAAGTTAAAACTGCATGCACGTAAGTAGAGTATGCACAGGCTCTAAAGGCCGGAAGCAAATAAAGAAACATAATGTTGTCAAAGAGATCTCCAGTCTTAAAAAGCAAGAAAATGATGTGGACACACCAATGAGTAAAAATACGAAACAAAATAAAATAGAGGATGGGGTTTCTTTTTACTTGGAGGAAAGGGGTGAAAGCACACAGAAGACTACAGAAAGTGAGAATGTTTATTTTTATTTTGTTTTATTTTATTTTATTTTATTTTTGAGGAGTCTTGCTCTGTCGCTCAGGCTGGAGTGCAAAGGTGCAATCTTGGCCCATTGAAACCTCCGTCTCCCAGGTTCAAGTGATTCTCCTGCTTCAGCCTCCCAAGTAGCTGGGATTACAGGCACCCTCCATGACACCCAGCTAATTTTGTATTTTTAGTAGAGATGGGGTTTCACCATCTTAGCCAGCCTGGTCTCGAACTCCTGACCTGGTGATTCACCAGACTTGGCCTCCCAAAGTGCTGGGATAACAGACGTGAGCCGCTGCGCCCGGCCGAGAATGTTTACTTTTAAAACTGAATCGGTACATTCATGCTCATTATGTTGTCATTGTATGTCGGTTGTATAGATTTTATGAATATTATTTTGTATCTATGCCTACTTGCCTCCCTTTCAGAGTTACATATGCTATGTAAACTAATAAAAATACTGCTTAAAATATTTCGGATTTGTAGAAACTACATCTGAGTATGTAAATGCAACTTCCCATGCTCCAGAATGTTTCTAAATTGGTTAGGTTTGCGCCTTTTTGCATTTTATATAAATGGAAGCATGTTGCATGTACTCTCATGCAGCCTTACTTCTTTCATGCAGTATTATGTTCCTGATTTTCATGTACATTGTTTCTCACAGCTGCAATGTATTCTTTTTCTCTACTCTATGGTATTCCATTGGGTGCATATCCATGATTTATTGATCCATTCTGTGGATAATGTACTCTGAATTATTTTTGTTCATTTGATTAGACAGATTAAAACAATATTTCAGTAAATATCTATGTATGGTGCCTTCCGATTCTACAAGTCTACTCCAAGATACAAAACTAAGAGAGGCAAATTTGAGTGGTAGAGTATGTATATTTTCTGTTATTTGAATGAAAATAATAAATATTGTATTCAAAGGTGGTTGTGGCAATGGATACTCCCTCAACAACGTGTGTCTCTAGGTTGCTCCACATCCTTGGCAAATCTTAATGCCATCCACCTTTTCAATGTTTGCCAATCGGGTGGGTTCCTGATCAGAAAAGAAGTTAATTGTGAGATTTCATTATCAATACAATAAACCGGTGGTCACCAACCAAATCTCATAATTGAGGAGGGAGATGGTTCTAATTTCACTGAGATACAATTCATACCAACGTTCTAAAAAAAAAAAGCACATTTTGTGAATGCAAGACATTGGTAGGTTTATTGTCAGAGATCTTATAAGGGAGGACAAGAGCTGTTTCAGTTACTTGAAAGAGTCTCAGACTGTACATGGTTCATCTGTGGTTTTCTTCAATTAAGAGCATTTTGCCAGTCACATTTTGACTCAAAAAACTCTGTGGTACCCATCAAATGAGTAACATACACACATGCACACACACAGGCACACACACACTTATCCTATAAGAAAGGTACTCTACCTGTAATCCCAGCACTTTGGGAGGCTGGGGTGGGTGGATCACGAGGTCAGGAGATTGAGACCATCCTAGCTAACATGGTGAAACCCCATCTCTACTAAAAATATGAAACTTTAGCTGGGCGTGGTGGCGGGCGCCTGTAGTCCCAGCTACTCCGGAGGCTGAGGCAGGAGAATGGCATGAACCCGGGAGGTGGAGCTTGCAGTGAGCCCAGATTGCGCCACTGCACTCCAGCCTGGGCGACAGAGCGAGACTCCATCTCAAAAAAAAAAAAAAAAAAAAAAAAAAGAATGGTACTCTATTATCATTTGGGTTTGCAGAAGGTTGTTTGGCTAGACTTGAGAATCTAACAAATACTCTTGAGAGGGGCTTTGGTATAAGGACATAGAGCCTGAATTCAAAGAAAACAGCTCTGGTTCTGTCACTTGCTAGCTTTGTGACTTTGTGAAATTATTTTCTCTATATATCTCAGGTTCTATCTTATTAAAGTAGAGATACCTTTGCTTACCATGAAGGGTTCCTGGACAATTGCAGAAGATATAAATGTGAACGCTTAACATAGTGATAGACTTAATAAACCGTGTTATTGCTATTATGTGAGGGCTTAAAGTAAAAGTTGCAGGCACAAGAAAACATCCCCAAAGCACTGAATCATGAATGTGAAAATAGGAAACTAGTCCGGAGATTACTAGAAATGACTGATTTCAGGCCAGTGACTTTCTACCATATTAGGCCTCATGACCTTTGGTTATTCAGGTTTGCAGGCTTCCATTTGACCTTGTAAGTTTCCAAAAGCAGAAGTAGTCTTGGCTTCTCTTTCTGGCAACTGGCATAACTTTCCTAAGAGACAATTTTATTTGAGGAAAGAAAAGAACTCTTATCTGAGAAATGCAAGTCCTTTTAATTATCAGGCCCAAAGAGAGATTAAAATGAGGCAGCAGTCACGTCCTCCTCCCTGCTTTGAGCTCTGTATTCCTCTCTTGGAACTGCTTGCTTTTGCCACCAGCAGCTGTAAATTAACTTAATAATGCCACACCCTACAGCTTAAGGATGTATAGCGAATCATTAATCAATGTTATTTCTGTAAAGCAGTAAGGATTCCTGACAAACCAGTTTGTATCAGCCCACTCCCTGTCCCCCATTTTTTGTCTTTATAAACCTACTTGTAACTGCTGCTAAATGGAATGTATATGGTGGCAACTTCAATCTTATGCTCCTGGGTTGCAATCTTAAGCTTGGCCCAAATAAACTCCATTGATACTAATTTTGCCTCAGCTTCCTCCTTCTAGGTCAACACATTTCTTGCTCTGAGCCACTCTCAAGGTGTTTTATTTTTTATTTCATTTTACTTTTTTTTGGAGACAGAGTCTCGCTGTAACCCCCAGGCTGGAGTTCAGTGGCACCATCTTGGCTCACTGCAACCTCTACCTCCAGGGTTCAAGCAATTCTCCTGCCTCAGCCTCCCAAGTAGCTGGGTTTACTGGCTCCTACCAATATGCCCAGCTAACTTTTGTATTTTTAGTAGAGGCGGGGTTTCGCCATGTTGGCCAGGCTGGTCTTCAACTCCTGACCTCAGGTGATCCACCCACCTTGGCCTCCCAAAGTGCTAGGATTACAGGTGTGAGCCACGGCGCCTGGCCATCTCAAGGTGTTTTAAAACTTAGGTTTCATTGCTATGCAGGTATAGTGAGGCCAAAAGATCAGGAGATGAAGGCACTTCAAAAGACAGCTTGTTACTCACAGTTGAGGGGGTGGTTACTCACAGTTATGGTTGGGGGAGTGGGGTAGAGGAACTCCATGCCACACAGGGCCACCTGGGGAAGCACCAGGTTGGTCGGGAGGCAGAGGGAGCAGGAAGAAAATGTGGGCTCTTGGGCTCTAGCCTGTATTGTGATTTCTGTGGGAAAGAATGAGTGAGGCAAGGTAAGCAGATTTAGCATTGGCTATTTGAATAATTTCGCTGGGCCCTGGGGTATAGAGGCTGTCCAGAGTTGTCTGGTTCCTGTCTCTCAGATGACTTGGGGCAGAGGAATATTGATTGGATGTCTGCGCGTGATAAAAGAAAGAGTTGAGGGCTCTGGGCTGTGGGTCGTCTGGTTTGCATATGAAAGGCGTGCTTCTGGGCCATGTTTGCTATTTCTAGGAGTGAGCTTTACCCTCTACAGTCAGTGAGGGCCAAATGCCAGAGCACCAAGAATATAGAAATAAGAAACTACAATTAATACACAAGGTACCAATGTAATATTGGGTTTTCATTGCATAACCCATTTATTCATTTATTTACTCTCACCGATTATTCTTTCTTTTCTCCAGTTATCAGTTAGTTTTATTTTTTTTTATTTTTTTTTTGAGACAGAGTCTCACTATGTCACGCAGGCTGGAGTGCAGTGGCTCCATCTCGGCTCACTGCAACCTCTACCTCCCGGGTTCAAGCAATTCTCCTGCCTCAGGCTCCCGAGTAGCTGGGACTACAGGCACCCGACACCATGCCTGGCTAATTTTTGTACTTTTAGTAGAGACGGGGTTTCACCGTGTTAGCCAGGATGGTCTCGATACCCTGACCTCGTGATCTGCCTTGCCTTGGCCTCCCAAACTGCTGGGATTACAGGCATGAGCCACCACGCCCAGCCAGTTAGTTTTAATTTTCTACCTTCGGAAGGGATGTTAGGTGAGGCCCCCGTGCTGGTTCAGATTGCCAGAAGCAACACTAGTGTAGCAAGTGCCTCTCCGTCCATTCCCATGCCCATGGGGCAGGGTTACATAGGTACAGAACCAGCGGGCTGTCTCGACCACTAGGCAGTACAGCAGAATTCCCTGTCAATTCCAGCCTTGTCAGACAGGGTGAAGGTAAAATCTGCTCTACCAGTTTCTTAGAAATTGTGACATCAAAGTTTAAAAGTATAGTTACAGATTCTTGTTTCAGGGGCATTCCTGTTTGTGGCACCTGCAGTTGCAGCCATTGTCCCAGAACACGGCATCAGGTAGGAAAAAGGAAAGGTGAAGTGATGTGGGGAATAATTTAAAAAGCACTGTTGAACTGGTATCTTCTCACTGTGGGAAACATTGTATAGCCATACCAGCCTCTTCACCTACCTCCCCTTCTCCAGGTCCCCCAGAAAGGAGACGAATCGCGCAAGGGGAGATGTGCCCTTGGTACCCCTCATGTTCAGTGTGACCACACACTCAGAGGCATACGAGTTAGCTCTTCATGCTTTTCTGTCTCCTGGTGTTAAGTAACCCATGTTTCAACTGCCCATCCCAATTCTCTATGAACTTATTACTCTGAGAATAATAGCTCTATAAAATGTGTTCCATAGGCTGAAGAAATGTGACTCAATGGCTCAAATCGGTGAATTTATTAAGTTATAATAAATAAAAGTGTATGGCTAACATGTTGAAAGAAATGTTAATGACTTCACTGAAAAAGACCCACATAAATGACGGCAACAGACTTAGATCTTGCCACATATTTTATTTAATGTTTTATCTGCCAGCACACACAGCTACAGATAAAACTTGGATGCAGTAAGATATAACGTCATGAAATCGTATGAAAAGGAAGACAGAAATTAGTCACATAAATGATACTCAACAATGGGTTGTATGATTAACTGGTTTAGAGTGGGTCTTAGGACTTTCAAAAAGAGTTGAAAAATAGGTAGAAAACTGAAGGAAAAAATGTAAATATATTTTGTGGGCAAAGCTATCGAGGTCGTAGGATTAAAGAAGATGGGGCTGGCCCGGGGCAGTGGCTCACGCCTGTAATCCCAGCTCTTTGGGAGGCCGAGGCGGGTGGATCACGAGGTCAGGAGATCGAGACCATCCTGGCTAACACGGTGAAACCCCGTCTCTACTAAAAATACAAAAATAAAATTAGCCGGGCATGGTGGCGGGCGCCTGTAGTCCCAGCTACTCCGGAGGCTGAGGCGGGAGAATGGTGTGAACCCAGGAGGCGGAGCTTGCAGTGAGCCGAGATCGCGCCACCGCACTCCAGCCAGCCTGGGCGACAAAGTGAGACTCCGTCTCAAAAAAAAGAAGAAGATGGGGCTGAACTGCCAAATACAATTATGTTGTGTTCCTTTTTCTAGGAAGTCTGTGGACAGTGATTTTTAAGTTAAACCAACAACACTGTGGTTAATAATAATTGTCAGCAAGATCTTTTCTGCAGCATCATTGTATCTGATCTCTTCTCAATAAAAAAATTGTTTCCTACATCAGTTTCTCTTTATTTCTCCCTATCCTTCAGAGTGAAAATTTCTTCTTCCTCTCTTTCCAAGACAAGTCCTGCCACCGGAGCAATGTCACACTTTCTCCTCTCAGAATAATTTGTGATTTTTCAAATATTTATGGAATACCTACTATGGAGGTCTGTCACGTGCTGGGCACTGTGATAGGCACCTATGGATGGGATTCTGTGCTGCAAAGTAATGTACAGGATGTAGAGGGGAGAAAATCATTTACGTAAATAGCTGTAACCCAGAACAGAAAGGGGCAGCTGACATAAAGACACACAGAATGTGCGGGTTATAAGTGCCTGTTTATGGGGGCAGTTGCAGGAACTGAGGTTTGATTATGGGCAAGATATGGACAAAGGCATGTTCTATGGCCATGCCATGAAAACAAAGGGGCAGAGGCGTGCATACAAATCTGGAGGCAGCTGCTCCAACTCCTAAATAGTGTAACCGAACAGCCCTGCCTGAAAAAGCACTTTAAAACTTCTTTCTCCTTTTTCCTTTCTTCCCAGTCTCAAGTTGAAACCTTGAAACAATCTCTAGAAATGTTTTTCCTTAGTCTTAAAATATAGCCTTGAAAGATACTTTGAAACCCTACTTCCTTCCGTTTCTCACCATGTTTTCCTTTACCCCAGGTGCATTTATCTAGCTTTATGCTTGTATACCCCACACACATTTATCTAGTTTATTTAAGCACGTAACGTATCTAATTATGTTCTTATTTAGAAGTTCCAGGGCCTAACGTTACGACAGACCAAGCGGCAGGGCGCCGTAGCTCATGCCTGTAATCCCAGCACTTTGGGAGGCCGAGGTGGGTGGATCACGAGGTCAGGAGATCGAGATCATCCTGG